>NC_000010.11:18494848-18646363 GCF_000001405.40 Homo sapiens
CCAGGAGTTTGAGGCCAGCCTGGGCAACACAGCAATACCCTGTCTCTACAAAGTTTTTTTAAAAAAAATAAAATGTAAAAACTTTAAAATATTTTTAAGATTACATCTCACTAAAAAGTGCACCTTGCTTTAGTGCTGGGTACAGTATAAAACAGTGTGGCCCATTTGGACAGTAGTTTAGAATAAAAATTTAAAAGTCTTAATAACTCATGTCTGACACATGCTACCTCTGGGACTCCATCCTAAGAAAATAATTCTAAGTAGAAAGAGGCTTTTGTACAAACATTTTTCAAAGCAGAATATTTTTCATACTGAATAATGTTGTGAACCTAAGTATCAAAGAAGGGTGAATGGTGAATGGTTGAGGGAGTCTTTTTTTTTTTTTTTAGATAGAGTCTCACTCTATCACCCAGGCTGGAGTGCAGTGGTGCAATGATCTTTGCTCACTGCAGCCTCTGCCTCCCGGGTTCAAGTGATTCTCCTGTCTCAGCCTCCTGAGTAGCTGGGATTACAGTCATGTGCCACCATGCCTGGCTAATTTTGTATTTTTAGTAGAGATGGGGTTTCTCCATATTGGTCAGGCTGGTCTAGAACTCCCAATCTCAGGTGATCCTCCCACCTTGGCCTCCCAAAGTGCTGCGATTACTGGCATGAGCCATCACGCCCGGCCAAAATATATTTTTAAAAGTATAAAAACTGTGTGTGTGTGTGTGTGTGTGTGTGTGTGTGTGTGTGTGTGTGTGTATAAGAGATGAGGTCTCACTTTGTTGCCCAGGCTGGTCTCAAACTCCTGGGCTCAAGTGATGCTCCCACCATGCCCTCCCAAAGTGTTGGGATTTACAGGCATGAGCCACGGCACCTGGCCTTTTAAAAAAATATATATTTTTTGCTTTTTCATTTTTTTATGTTTAATATTGGATGAAATGCAATATGTTATGATTGTAGCTCTGGAAGTAAACTTTATATACTTAAGAACATTTCTAGAAAAAATAGAAACATCATACTCTCAAGGATTGTGTTTCAGTTGTACAGGTAAATAAATGTACACATTTATTTACGTGTATTTTTAATTCCCATAATTCCACACAAGAAGCAGGATCCCTGGTATCACTAAAAATTAAAGTGGATGTCATTCGAGACCAGCCTGGCCAATATGGTGAAACTCCATCTCTACTAAAAATACAAAAATTAGCCAGGCATGATGGCGGGTGCCTGTAGTCCCAGCTACTTGGGAGGCTAGGGTAGAAGAATCGCTTGAACCTGGAAGGCAGAGGTTGCAGTGAGCTGGGATCGTGCCACTGCACTCCAGCCTGGGCATCACAGTGAGACTCAGTCTCAAAAAAAAAAAAAAAAAAAAATTACAGTGAATGTCAATAACTGGCTTCCAAATATTTAACTCCACCTCATGTCTATTGTGCCTATATCCAGAATTTGGTTTTCCTTTCCCAATCTGCAAATTGTGACTAGACCATAGTAACATCAGGGATCTTAAGTCAGTCTTAACCCAGACAAGAGGCAGGTAGAACAAATTAACTTCGGAAAATTTGGAAATGAAAATGGGTTCTCTCTACTCCAACTCCCCTGTGTCTTCTCTGGCAAGTCCAGGTAGAGAGCGCATTGAATAGGGAGAAACTGCTCCCTTCTCCTGAGAGGTCGAAATAATTTTTTTAAAGAATAGGTTAAGCCGGACGCGGTGGCTCATGCCTATAATCCCAGCACTTTGGGAGGCCAAGGCAGGCAGATCACCTGAGGTCAGGAGTTCAAGACCAGCCTGACCAATATGGTGAAACGCCATCTCTACTAAAAATACAAAAAATTAGCTGGGCGTGGTGGCGGGTGCCTGTAATCCCAGCAACTCGGGAGGCTGAGGCAGGAGAACCGCTTGAATGCAGGAGGCGGAGGTTGCAATGAGCCGAGATCATGCCATTGCTCTCCAGCTTGGGCAACAAGAGCGAAACTCCGCCTCAAAAAAAAAAAAAAAAAAAAGGAAAAAAAGAAAAAAAAAGTAGGTTAAAAGGAATATCACATGAAAAACTATGTTACTTTGTATATATCATGTATATAAGAAATACATAGAAGAGGCCAGGCATGGTGTCTCGTACCTGTAATCCCAGCACTTTGGGAGGCTGAGGCGGGCAGATCACCCAAGGTCAGGGGTTCGAGACCAGCTTGGCCAACACAGTGAAACCCTGTCTCTTCTAAAAATACAAAAAATTAGCTGGGCGTGGTGGCTCACGCCTATAATCCAAGCTACTCGGGAGGCTGAAGCAGGAGAATCAATTGAACTCCAGAGGAGGAGGTTGCAGTGAGCTGAAATTGCACCACTGCACTCCAGCCTGGGCTACAAAGTAAGACTCTGTAAAAAAAAAAAAAAAAGAAAAGAAGAAAAAAAGAAAGAAAGAAATATATAGAAGCAATCCACTTGCCCATAATGGGAAAGAAATACAATACCACTTAGAACAATACCATTTTCACCATTTCTGAGCTTACCTGTTTCTTTCATCTTGTGGATAAATAGGTATTAGCTAAAGAGAGAATAAATGCTTATCTGTAAATTCTTTTGGTTTGATTTGTTTTTTTCTTTTTTTTGAGACAGGGACTGACTTTGTCCCCCGGGCTGGAGTGCAGTCGCGTGATCATGGCTCACTGCAGCATAGACCCCCTGGGCTTAAGTGATCCTCTTGCCTTAGCCTCCCAAGTTGTTGGGAGTATAGGTGCCTGCCACCACACCTAGCCTAATTTTTGTTTTTGATTTTTAGTGAGAAGAGGTCTTGCTATGTTGCCCAGGCTGATCTTGAACTCCTAGGGTCAAGCAATCCTCTTGCCTTGGCCTCACAAAATGCTGGGATTACAGGCATGAGCCACCACTCCTGGCCCTTTATCTGTAAAATTTCAAAGCATCAAATAAGGAAAGAGATCTTAATTAATATCTTTAGTAGCTGAACAAACTCAAGTAGGAGAAATAATAGAAGAAAAAGTCATTGCTTTCATAATTCGTTGCAGCCATGAATGAGAGTTGCTATAGTTGTAGCATATTTTCCCCGGCTCTTTTCTCATTCAATGATTGTACCTTTCGGAATTATGTCTTTAATGATTAATTAATTAAAGTAGATGTTTGGGGTAGCAAGGCAGTGACTAAGTCCTTTCCACTGAAACGGAAGAACTGGGGATTTTATTCATGTTTGTGTTTCCTGATTTACAGTTGCTACAAGCGCCAATGTTGAAAACACATATTTCCGTGGCTCTTCTTCACCTTCATTACTTGTAGTGCTTTCAAAGAGAACAATGGCCTTTTTCTAGTTCAGAAATGGGTGTTATGTAGCTCACAGCTGGGAGATTTCAAGTGTTTTGAATACGAACAAGCTGTTTTGTGATAAAGAACCAGTGCAGAGGGGAAACCAACAATGATTACAGTAGTTATTCAGTATGTCTTTGTGTTTGAGGGAAAAAGGAGGGACAGTGTTGTTTTGCTCTTATTTTTTTCCCTCTTCCTTTTCCCACTTTAGACAAAGCCCGTTGCATTTGCGGTTCGGACAAATGTCAGCTACAGTGCGGCCCATGAAGATGATGTTCCAGTGCCTGGCATGGCCATCTCATTCGAAGCAAAAGATTTTCTGCATGTTAAGGAAGTAAGGAGAATAATTTCATTTTCTAACAGCATGATGTTTCACCTTGACATACCATTTCTTATTTCCTATTCATATGCCGTTTCTGTGAAGTAGCATTGCACATCGCTGCAGTTGTATAACACACATAACTAAATCAATGGCTCTCAACCTCTGCTAATATAAATATACCTTTTAAAGTGGAAAGAAGTCACAGGCCTCTTGCAATAACTTCAGCGCTCCCTGGGGCTCTGTGGCCCAGAAATTGGGAACTGCTAGAGTAGATGATCCTTTTTTATGCTTAACCTATACTTTTTTTTAATGTTTCACCTTGACTAGGTGTAGTTTTTCCTGATGCCTGAAGTCTAGGCATCTGGGGAGGGTTTAATAATAATATCTAGAATTCATGACTCTTCTCTCTGCTGACAGTGTCTCAATACAAACTACTGATGACCTTTTTCCTCCTTAAATGCTAAATTTCTGCAGTGGGTGAGAGAATGGTAAGAATTGACACCAATAAGGCAACAAAGAGGTATCAGGAAAAGTCCTTTTCCTACATGCTAAATGTCTCCACCTTCTAGTGAGCAATGACACAACCTGCAAATTGGAAACTTTCATCCTTAATTAAGGTTTGTTTGGAGTCAACATTTATCAAATGCCTGCCTTGTGGAGCACTGTGTAAACTGACCAGAAATTTCCCCTGTAGAATATTCTCAGTGTGTGATCCTGAGGTTTTTCTTGGACCTGAAGGAATTTATACTTGGAGCTCTTCCATCTAGGGTATATATAATATGTCATAGGAAGTATGTGTAAATCGAAACTCTTCACTGCACTAAAGGCTGTCAGCAAAGGAGTTGATAACTGCCGATTAAAAGAACCTAGGGCTGGGCCCGGTGGCTCATGCCTGTAATCCCAACACTTTGGGAGGCCAAGGTGGGCGGATCACAAGGTCAGGAGATGAAGACCATCCTGGCCAACATGGTGAACCCCGTCTCCACTAAAAATACAAAAATTATCTGGGTGTAGTGGCACATGCCTGTAATCTCAGCTACTCGAGAGGCTGAGGCAGAAGAATAGCTTGAACCAGCGAGTCGGAGGTTGCAGTGAGCCGAGATTGCGCCACTGCACCCGAGCCTGGCGACAGAGTGAGATTCTGTCTCAAAGAAAAAAAAAAAAAAAAAAAAAAGAACCTAGAAGCCTGGGTACTATGGCTCATGCCTGTAATCCAAGCACTAAGAACCTAGAAGCCTGGGTACTATGGCTCATGCTTCCAAGCATTTTGGAAGGCCGAGGAAGGCAGATCTCTTGAGCCCAGGAGACCAGCCTGGGCAACAGGGTAAAACCCCATCTCTAAAAAAAAAAAAAAAAAAAAAATTAACCTGGTGTGGTAGCATACACCGGTAGTCCTAGCTACTCAGGAGGCCAGTGGATTGATTGAGCCTGGAAATTCAAGACAGGAGTGAGCCAGGATCATGTCACTGCACTCCAGCCTGGGCGACAGAGCAAGACCCTGTCTTGATTAAAAATAGAAGAGCCTAGAGAATTTAGAGCCTACCATTTTGGTAACCTCTGAAAAGAGATGTCAAATACTGGCTAGGTGGGAACAATAGAAAAAGTTATCAGCTGTGCCTAGAATCTCACTTTACACCAGGAAGTTAGATTATTATGAGGTCTCTTCTTGATGATTGATGCTGAAAGGGGGATCTTTCCACCATGAAAGGAAAAGAAAAACAGAATGTATATTCTTCTTCGACGTGTTCAAGGACAGATTTATTCAATCGAGGAAAAAGAAGGCAAATCACAAAGATTTAAGATACATATTCCACCTGCAAGACATAAATTGTCAACATCACACAAGTAGAGAAATCATCTGTGAACATCGCATTGTATATTTATAAAACTGTTTGCACAAAGGTAAATTGTCCTGTGACATGAAATATTTAAGGTACACTTCAATATTTATCTCTTTCTCTCAATAATTCCAATTGGTCTGATTATATAAGGGGAAGATTTCTGTAACAGTACTTCCTAAAGATCTCTTGGTAGGATGGGCTGTTATTCTTTGAACCCAGAGAGCTTATCCCTACTCATGGTGACAGCAGCTGCTGCAAGGGAATTCAGCCTGGTCCTACGGCAGCACCAGGACAGACAAGGAACGCAGAGCCTTTGATAGATTGCTGAGGACGCTAAATGCATTTCTTACATGTGAAACCCATGAGCCGAAGGGTTTCTTGAATGATAATATTTAAGGCATAGTTAATGGTCATTGCCATATTTCTCTCGACTGAAAATAGTGTGGAAGAACAAGGATTTGACCTTCTGTGCACTGATTTTTAATGCTTTTGATTTTGTGTTTAGAAATTTAACAATGACTGGTGGATAGGGCGATTGGTAAAAGAAGGCTGTGAAATCGGATTCATTCCAAGCCCAGTCAAACTAGAAAACATGAGGCTGCAGCATGAACAGAGAGCCAAGCAAGGGAAATTCTACTCCAGGTATGAGACAGATGTCAAGTGTTTGCATAAAACTTAGATTATACCACTATCTGTGTACTGTTGTCTGCTGTATTCTGTATCCTTTATTATGTATTAACAAGGAGGCTGGTAATATGGTTTATTGATAGCATCACAAATCTTGCATTTTCCTGCATTTAAAAAACTTCAGTCCAGCACCTGATTTTCACCCTATTTGGGAAAGTGTCAAATTATTATCATTAATGAAAAGAGCTAAGGTCATAGAGTATTAAATTCAGGCTCCAGGGCAGAGGAAAATCTGAAACCTTAATCATTTACTGAAAAATAGTCTGGCACATCATAGCCCTGGTGACTAATCCCACTGTCTGTAGCTGCCTGGTATGGCTGGGAGATGTTTGAGAGATGACATTCTCAGACATCATCAGGCAGTGGCAGCTCTTGTCATCCGTTAGTTTCATTTTCACCTGAGAAACTCAATTTTCAGTTCTACCCACTGTTAAGCACTTAAAGAGAAGCGAAGTATGAAACAAGTTAAAACTGCCTGTGCAGATGGCAATTAGATGAGTTATGTAAGAAGCTGGGGCTGAATAATCCCTCCTAGGATTTGTGAGGTTGTCTGTCCCTCTCTGAAAGAATCACTAGAAAGGCTTCTCGTAGATGTACTGAATTTTCCATGGAATCGTATGCAGACGGGTCTAAGGACGCAGCATGCCTCTCCCAATGTGAAAGGATGGGACATGGGCAAGGCCTTTCTTAAATACGAATCGCTGGATTTCTCTTTTCTCCATCTTACATCTTATTTGTTTATCTAAGATGCAAATCCCTTTGTCAGTGATAATACTTTACTGTGAGCAAGTATTTTTTTCAAGCGTCAGCAGATGAGTGAAACAGAATATGCTTTGTGGTTTGGAACACCCATCCTCATTAACTGGCTTTTCATAATTGTCAAGTTCATTTAGTTCAGACGGATTCCTCTGTGTTTTGAGACCTCCACCCCAGAATTGACTTTCATTAATTCCTGGGTTATTGAGAGCACTCAGATGGTGAGATGCATTCAGTCATATAAAAGTAGAGGCATGCATAAAAAAGAACAAAGATTGGCCGGGCATGGTGGCTCATGCCTGTAATCCCAGCACTGGGAGGCCGAGGCAGACAGATCACCTGAGGTCAGGAGTTCAAGACGAGCCTGGCCAACATGGTGAAACCCCATCTCTACTAAAAATCCAAAAATTAGCTGGGCATGGTGGCGGGAGCCTGTAATCCTAGCTACTCGGGAGGCTGAGGCAGGAGAATTACTTGAATCTGGGAGGTGGAAGTTGCAGTGAGCCCAGATTCGTGCCACTGCATTCCAGCCTGGGCGACAGAGTGAGACTCTATCTCAAAAAAAAAAGAACAAGATCATGTCTTTTGCAGCAACATGGATGGAGCCGGAGGCCATTATCCCAAGCAAACTAACACAGGAATAGAAAACCAAATACGGGGGCCACGTGCGGTGGCTCACACCTGTAATCCCAGCACTTTGGGAGGCTGAGGCGGGCATATCACAAGGTTAAGAGATTGAGACCATCCTGGGCAACATTGTGAAACCCCGTCTCTACTAAAAAAAAAAAAAAATTAGCTGGGTATGGTGGTGTGTGCCTATAGTCCCAGCTACTTGAGAAGCTGAGGCAGAGAATCACTTCGAACCCGGGAGGCAGAGGTTGAAGTGAGCCAAGATCGCACCATTGCACTCCAGCCTGGCGACAGAGCAAGACTCCATCTCAAAAAAAAAAAAAAAAAAAAAAAAAAAAAAAAAAACCGCATGTTTTTACTTATAAGTGAGAGCTAAACATTGAGAACATACACCAGGAAGGGAACATAAGACACTGGGGACTACTTGAGGGTGGAGGATGGGAGGAGGGTGAGGATCAGAAAAACCACCTCCTGGGGCATTATGTTCATTATCTGGGTGACAAAATAATCTGTACACCAAACCCCTGTGACATGCAGTTTACCTGTGTAACAAACCTGGACATGTACCCCGAAACTAAAAGTAAAAAAAGAAAAAAAAGTTGCCTGTAAAGATAACCCTCTTAGGATTAAAATACTTTACTCTGAATTAAGTTATCATTATCATTAGCAGCAGTAAATTATTCATTAGACCAACATACATATAATGCATATTTTGATATGCAATATTAAATATTAAACTTTTGTTGAAAATGCATTTCTTAATGAGAAAAAAAAGTAAAGACATGCAGATGAACAGCGCATGTGCATTCTGCCTGCAGGGTGTTTGAAGACCCGATAGGATTCTTTCAATCCTTAATGTTCCATTGGCCTTATTTTGTGTTTTCCTACCCTCTGTATTGAAAATGGTATCATAATACTAGCTAATGAAACCTTATGGCCAAGCACGGTGGCTCATGCCTGTAATCCCAGCACTTTGGGAGGCCAAAGCAGGTGGATCGCTTGAGGCCAGGAGTTCGAGACCAGCCTGGTCAATATGGTGAAACCCTGTCTCTACCAAAAGTATGAAACTAGCTGGGTGTGGTGGTGCACACCTGTAACCCCAGCTACTTGGGAGCCTGAGGTATGAGAATCACTTCAACTTGGAAGGCGGAGGTTGCAGTGAGCCGAGATCATGTTCCAACTTGGGCGTCAGTGAAACTCTGTCTGAAAAAACAAACAAAAAAAAGAACCACCTTATATGGAAACATTTTGTTTTAATAGGGTGTAGACATTGCTCCTGTCAACTAGGTAGTATATCGTTTGTTGAGGTTTGAAGTTATCCCAGCTGGGGGTGTTTTGTTTTTAGTTAGGACAATTCAGCATTTTTCAGAATTTTCTTGTCAAATGACTTGAGAAAGGGGTTCCAAGATGAAATAAATTAAGGATAGTTCTAGGTAATAGAAAGTTACTTCAGGATTTTTTTATAGCCTTTTAATGTCATCATGTACACTGTGAATCTCTGGTGGAATGGGAATTTTTTTAAGTATAGTATTTACTAAAATTGCTTTCTCATAAAAACTCCCCTGGCTCATGTCTTAGGAATAGTGTTTTGTAGAATACATTTTGGAAAATTTGGGATGGATTTTTGCAGAGGCAGGCTTGTGTGTCTTTCTTTGCCTCTTCATATAGAAACTGAGAAATGAGAACAACTTCAAAGGGAGTAGAAATCTTTCCCAAAATTGTTTGAGAAATGTAGTCTCCTGTGTCTCCCAAATGGGCTTGCCTAGGCTAACATTAGTGCTCCACTCATCTTTGTAAGGACCTGTGGGAGCAGTGGGTATTAGATCTTACAGGTCACAGATGAGAAAACAGGTTAAGAGAAGTTAGGGAACTTGATCGAGGTCGCAGAGCTAGTAAGCGTCAGAACCAAGATGGTAGCCTGACCTCCACGCTGTACAGACTTCCATGCTGCACTGCAGATTAAGGAGCCAGGTCTTGCCTGGCACAGCAAGCCCAGGACAGATGGTTATTGCCATCTGTTATTATTTACTTTATTAGATATGTTGTTTTGCTCTTGCATTTTTTTCCCTTAGGACTCTGAGTTATCCGTATTTGAGGGAATGTAACATCTCAGAACTTACTCCAGAGAACTAGATTACCTTTTCTTACAGCCATATATCTTTTCCTTTGATTTTCTTCATTTTATTTTGGCCCAAGATTTTGCCTAAGTATGTGAAAATACTTTTACTTGCTTTCATAGGTTTTTACATTTCTCTCCTTTTGTGTGTGTGTGTGCGTGTGTGTGAGACAGAGCCTCGCTCTGTCACCCAGGCTGGAGTGCAGTGGCGCAGTCTCGACTCACTGCAACCTCCGCCTCCCCGGTTCAAGCGATTCTCCTGCTTCAGCCTCCCAAGTAGCTGGGACTACAGGCATGCACCACCACGCCCAGCTAATTTTTGTATTTTTAGTAGAGACAGGGTTTCACTGTGTTGGCCAGGCTGGTCTCAAACTCCCAACCTTAGGTGATCCACCCACCTTGGCCTACCAGAGTGTTGGGATTACAGGCGTGAGCCACCGTGCCCGGCCTCTCCTAACATTTTAAATGTAGTTTTGTTTTGAGGACATAACCAGAATCCGGCAGTCTTTAAAAACTCTGATACAGAAATTATAAAAATTGACAGAACTCAATGGAAATGGAATTGGGGTACCGTTCAAGAACTTGGCATTTTAATAGAATTAAAAGTCAAGGACAAATCTGCATCCTGGTCATTGTCACCATTTGCAGCATTTGTCACAATTTTACATAAATAATATTTTGGCTGTTACTAAAATTCAAAGGGAATATAAAACCCATGAACTTAAACTGAAATTAGACTTAATACTTCAGAAAAAAAAAAAAAACTTCTGGGGAAAAAAATGTTTTGGTCTTGGTAATAGGTCCTTGTATAACTGCCAGAAACTGCTTCTATAGATATCACTTGTCATTAATTTCACATACTGTCTGATGCCCTTATTAAATGTATTTGAGTATCTCTTAAGAACCTTAAAAAGATATACAGCCCTCCTGCTAATTGCCTAATAAAGTTTTTGATGTTTATGCATTAAAATGCTAGAACAGTAGCAATAACATTCAGCCTGTTACTGATACTTTAATAAAACTTTTATTTCCATATTAATATTTACGTAAGTAAATATTGCCCTTTGATGCATAAACACTGTAGCAAATTCTTTCAACTAGACCCTGGCTCGGCCATAATAATAAACATTAGGCAGTGAGATCATTTTGCCCAAATGTAAAATGTTCTTCTTATCTTCATCTGAGAGAGGGGTCATTCGGTAACACGTTATTTAGCATGCTAGTAGGCTGGTGAAAAACACAAATGCTGTTGTTCTAATATTAACTCCAATGTTTCTGAGACACTGCAGTATATCATATCAAACTTTCAAATTTGGTAGTTCGGAAATGTATGATCTTCAAATTATTCCTAAATTAACCACGTTTCATTCTCCACGTGAGTCACGCTTGAGAAGTATTCTGGGTACTATCTGATGGCTACATCATATCATATTCTGTTTAGTCATGTTTCTTCGTGTGTCCGTTAGTGGTTGGCAAGTTTTCATATGGCTCTGTTGTTCTTTGATAGATTGCTCATGAAAGCGTGAGTGCTTTCAATCTTAGTGTACTATTAATAAAATAAGCCTAAAACAGAGGAGCTGAAACCAAACAAGAAGGAAATATTAATCTTGGGTGTTAGCCTTAAGGTTCTGTGCATCGCCTCTGAGGGTCTCTAAAATAAAAAGCAAAATAAATCTGTGCTATTTCACTGTCTGTGATCTGGGCAAGTAACTTGGGGGCTGCAGAAATTACACTGGTTCTCTTCCATTCTCTCAGGTCCTTTTAAAATTAAACCTTGAATTTGAAATCAGAGACCATCATGTGGCTATTTCAAGTACTCCAGGAATCTCCACTGGGAAATATTGTTTTCCTCCTTAAATGAAAGATAAATTTAAAGTTGAATAAAACCATAATGAATTATGTTTACTGAATAATATAAATGTTTGAGGATGCGAAATAAGTGTCAGATTTAATAGAAATTTTTGCTTTACTCCAGTAAATCAGGAGGAAATTCATCATCCAGTTTGGGTGACATAGTACCTAGTTCCAGAAAATCAACACCTCCATCATCTGGTAAGTAGGTGATAAATGCTGAATAATACATACTGCATTTCATGCTTTCCCCAGCTCTATCCAGTTTTGTGAATTTACGTATACACTGAATCACTATGTTAACCCTACAGATGTTAAAAGGAATCAGAAGTGAGCATGCCCTTTTGGAGTTACAAACAATATGGGGAAATGTTTTTTTCTGGCTGGAAAAAGAAGTATGTCAAAGTGTTTACATTGCTGTAGATGATCAAAGTGATTAATGTATTTATTTATTTATTTATTTATTTTTTTGAGACAGAGTCTCACTCTATTGCCCACGCTGGAGTGCAGTGGCATGATCGCAGCTCACTGCGCCTCTGCCTCCAGGGCTCAAGTGATCCCCCCACCTCCGCTTCCCAAGTAGCTGGGACTACAGGTGCACACCACCATGCCCGGCTAATTTTTGTATTTTTTGTAGAGATGGAGTTTCACCATGTTGCCCAGGCTGGTCTCGAACTCCTGAGTTCAAGCGATCCACCTGCCTTAGGCTCCCAAAGTGCTGGGTTTACAGATGTAAGCCACTGCACCCAGCCATATTAACCTTTAATCCCTAGTTCCTGCGATGGTGCTTGTCATGGGCAGTAAATGGGTGAATACTTGCCAACAACCATAGCACAATGTGAGATATAACCTTAACATTAAACAGAAGGATAAAAACTTTAGAAAGGTAAGGAACAGAGGGTAAAGTGAAGATAGAGGATTGGCCTGTTGTGGGCTCTACCAGAAAAGTTCTGTGGAAGACACAGACAAGAAGTATAGAAAAAAGATGAAAATGTGTGTGGGAACAGTAACTACTGTTTTCTTTCCAAAGCAGTGGGTTCATCCTAATGGTTGCTGGATAAAATAAAGCACACCTACTTAAATTTGAATTTCAGATAAACAATAATTTACTAGTTTAAGTACATATTGCATGGGGCATACTTACACTAAAAATGTATGGAACATACTTATGCTAAAACATTGTTTTAAATTCAAATTTAACTGCATTTATATTTGCTAAATCTGGGAACTCTCCTATTCTGTGTAGAACATGGAATTCTATATAGACAGGAGACTAATGATTTGAATTGCAAAAAAAAGCACATGATCAGTATCTTAGTTTGCTAAGAGAATTGTTATTGGGAATCAGAGTAAGACTGTAAAGGTTGACTGCCAGGGTGTTTCAGCAAAATGATACTGTGTGTGATTTCTAGAAAGCTGGAAATGGGAAGAGATAAAAAACAGAGAGTTGTACAACTATGCAGAAATCAAAGAACTAGTCACACAGTGACTGATGTGCTTTAAGGACAGGATTTCTCTATTACTAATAATCAGCTTCATTCCTGAATGGTGGTGGCCTTTAGAGACCAATCAAGGACTTCTTAGCAAAAACTATAGGATTTTTTTTTTTTAAGAGAAGGGGTTTCACTATGTTGCCCAGGCTGTTCTTGAAACTCCTGGGTTCAAGGGATCCTCCTCCTCAGCCTCCCAAACTGTTGGGATGACAGGCATGAGCCACCATGCCCAGCCATTGGCAAACTAAGATACTGATCATGGGCTTTTTTTGCAATTCAAACCATTGTTCTGTTTATATAGAATTCCAAGTTCTACACAGAATATAGGACTTTCAAGTGAGCAAAATCTGAGCACAATAAATGAATTGCTTTAGGAAGCAAATTAATTTCAAAAACTATCTACTTATAACTTGAAGCAAGCAATTCTAAGATGCTCAAAATTAAGTAAAATAGTATGCATGAAATGAAAATGAAAGGCCCTGTAGGTATTATGTGAAACTTATACCTTCCCTTGATAATTACGGAGCCCCTGAATCCACAGAGGAAGGGAGGCCTATCCTGTTCCTTCTCAAATGTGTGAAGTTGCAGGGATTCCTATATAAACCTTACACTCTTATATATCTCAAAGATGATTTCAGTGATTTCTAGGGACTGCTACTAGGCTCTTAAAGTGGAAAAAGACTATGTCACCTTGCGATAAAGCAGCAGTTCTGCCTGCAAATGTCAGCCTCACTTCTTTCTATATACCAGAAAAATTCTTCCATTCCCTCCAGCCATATTGTAGCCCTCCAGTGGTTTTGGCAACACAGATGCTCCCCAACTTATGATAGAGTTACACTTCACTAAACCCATCATAAATAGAAAATATGGTAACTCAAAATGTACTTAACACGTGGACAGACCCAGTAAAAAGTCTGACGTCAAACCATCGTAAAGTTCAGACCTTGACTTATGATAAGGTTATGTCCTGAAAAATTTGTAATAAACTTGCACAATCTTAAGTTGAACCAGTGTATGTCAAGGACCGTCTGTATAGTGAAAGGAGGTGCTGCATTTTGAAGAACAAGTTAGTATACATGTAAAATAACATTCCATTTTGTAGGCAGATGTTTGACATTACTAAAAGTAAAGTTCCATGAAGAGTGTAATATTTAAAAAGGTGATTTAAATGTTCACCAAGGTTTTGTAGAGATACACCAACTTTCAAGTGACTTTTCTGGTGACTGAGTCACTTGGAGCTATAACCAACTACAAAATGTATAATAAGCATATTAGGACTCTGAGACAATTTTTATATCAATAGCTCAACTGATTTAAAGGAAAACTTCAGAAAGCTCGAAAGAGAAGTTCTCCCAATCCACCTCCAGGCACAACTGCTCCAACTATCAAGTGTGGATGGGTCTGTAATGATCATTTTCATCGTTTCCAAAGGTCTCATCTATTATTCTCCTCACTCATTGCCAGACCAAAGAATATAAGTATCTGCCTAAAGTATATATGCTTGGATGCTGTCAAGAACTTGGAAAATTTCCCACTTGACATCTGGGCATTGGTGTCATAGCCAGTTGCAGAATACATACATCGCACCCACACACACGTGTGTACATATGTGTCAAGCCCAAGCTCTGCTTAACTTGACCCAAACCTTTAACACCAAAACTTAAATTTCAAAAAATTGTTCTCGGTGCCATGGTCACGCCTGTAATCCCAGCACTTTGGGAGGCTGAGGCAGGAGGATCACTTGAGCCCAGGAGTTCAAGACCAGCCTGGACAATGTAAGTGAGACCCCGTTTCTAAAAAATTAGCTGGGTATGGTGGTGTGCACCTATAGTCCCAGCTACTTGGGAGGCTGAGGTAGGAGGTTCACTCGAGTCCAGGAGGTTGAGGCTGCACTGAGCCATGATTATGTCACTGCACTCCAGCCTGGGCCACAGAGGGAGACCCTGTCTCAAATAAATAAATAAACAAACAAACAGAAAAAATGTTCCCAAGGCTCTCTATCACTAATAATAATATATGCATGCTAGTGAGGAAGAATGAGACTTTTCAAATATA
Source organism: Homo sapiens (assembly GCF_000001405.40). Classification (NCBI taxonomy): domain Eukaryota; kingdom Metazoa; phylum Chordata; class Mammalia; order Primates; family Hominidae; genus Homo; species Homo sapiens. The sequence continues at coordinate 18,509,895 of NC_000010.11, forward strand.
TGAAAGCAGTTCTTTCCAAGTAAATACTAATGTTTGCTAAAGCATGGAAATATAAGTATGAAATTTAAAAAGAGTAACATTTCTCATTAAAAGGAGAACCATCTGAGTCTAATAAAATACATGTAGCTGAACAGATTTGAAAATGCTTCTTAACTGCCTTGGTAAGTTTCTTTAATATGTTTTGAAAGTGACCACATGTTTCAGAATTCTACGTATTTCAAAATGAACTCAGATGTTTTTAGACCTGAGTTAACCAAATGTCAGAACTAGTACATTATAGAAAGTTCTCAATTTGGGATATCCAGCCCTCATGTCCAGATACAGGTAAATTTCAAACCTGACTCAGGCTATGTGTGTGGAAAGCCAAACACCTGGGCAACGTTGCAGCCAAAGATGTATACGTTTCCACTCTTTCTTTGTTTTTTTTTGAGATGGAGTCTCACTGTCACCCAGGCTGGAGTGCAGTGGCACAATCTCAGCTCACTGAAGCCTCCATCTCCCAGGTTCAAGTGATTCTCCCACCTCAGCGTCCCAAGTAGCTGGGATTACAGGCACCGGCCACCACACCTGGCTAATCTTTGTATTGTTAGTAGAGACAGGATTTTACCATGTTGGCCAGGTTGGCCTCGAATTCCTGACCTCAAGTGATCCACCCACCATGGCTTCCCAAACTGCTGGGATTACAGGCATGAGCCACCATGCCCAGCCTCACTCTTATTTTAAAAAACAAAAATACAACTGATGATCACAGCAGGCTAGATTCAATGGGCAAATCACAAAATTCAACTCATGAACTTGACTGTCCAAGGGTCCTGTAAATTCTGACATCCAACTGGTTATCTTCATTTTAGGAGAGCCCTCAAAGGGTACTATCCCTTGAATGTGGTCTTTATGAGCCCAATAAAAGATGAGAAAGATAAAACCTGTGGGAATTTACCACCAGCAAGGAAACTCTTGATTTTGGTTAACATGTATTGTAGGAATAATGAATTCCTGACGCAGATTTTGTCCTTCATATCCAGGAAAGCGCTGACAACATGCTGCTTGAGTTGAGATTCAAGGAAAAACATTTCTGAAGAGTTTTCTGAGACTCTTGCCTGGCTTATGCCATTCAATAAGCCCCATAAGGAAACTTTCCTATATGAGCAAAGGATTAGCTATAGGATGGTATAAAAGTCAGCACTGGATAAAGCCCTAGGCACATTTTATGTTTTCTCTACATACCACATGTTAAACCTTTTAGCACATCAGTATGCATAGATGGGGCAAAGAGGAAGACATACTTACTATATTAGGTCTACGTAATTAGGACTGAATTAATTCCATTATTACCTTTTTTTTGATAGAAAATCATACCTCCTGCATTATGCAAGCAATAGCTGATTATTTGTAATAGTGTACAAACAATGGCAGGTATTCACTCCATCACAGGTTTCCTACCTCACCAAATGAAAAGGAATAATTAAATAAGAGAGCCTAGTTTTCAAAAGGCTGCTTCATTTAATATTCATAACAACTTCAAAACTGAAAAATAATGTAATGCCTGTCAGATGATCTTCCATCCTTTGAAAAGGTTAGAAGAAGCTGCTGTGAGCAGTTCAGCTTGTGTATCCCAGGGAATGGTAGCTGTATTGTAACACCAAGTTGTCTGTTATTTCAAACTGGTAATTTGTTCCTTCCTTCAATCTAAATGTACTGTGGTTTTTGTTAGAGAGCTAACATGTATAATATGATGCTTTCCTGCAGTGAGTAAATTTTTTTTCTTCTCCTTGACTGATTCTTAACCGTAGAATAATTTTCTAGCTAGTCCAGCTCTATGATGTCATCCTGACTCCTGACATCAAGGACATGACCCCATTGAGGATGTGAAGGGAACTGAAAGAGGGCACCCAGATTGAGAAGGGACTTCGCCTGGATGGGCAGTGTGGTATAGGGACGGTTACAGACTCATTTAGGTGGGCACTGTGGTATACGGAGGGTTATAGACTCACTTACGCAGGAGGAGTAGGTCTGAATCCTGACTGCCAAGTTTTTGCCAAGAACAAGTCCCTTAAATTTTGAGTTTTTTAATCTTAAAAATAAGAGCCTTGAAGTTGATCTTTATTTCCATCTCTGACTCTGCAGTTGATAAAATTCTGTAGCTATTTCAATTGCATGTGGAAGGATTTTGTAAAATTTGAAGTGAGATTATGCATCTTTTTTTCTTGTAACACTTTTTAAGTACTATATTTTCAGGTGGAACAATGGGAAAAGTAAATCATGTCAAGCAACAAAGCTAAACCTTTCATTTTACAGATGAGGAAACCAGTGGCATATCCTCTTGGGTCCTCGTGCCCTTCCACTCTGCCTCTTTTGTTAAACCCAGTGGCTTTGCATAAGTCACCAGAAGTCTTCCAATGTCATTTTATTAGACAGATTTCACTCGGATATCTTGGGACCCAGTGTTTTCCCATTAGTCTTCATCAGCCTAAAATCATCTTAATCCTGTCCTTCCTGGAGCCCTCCCTGAATCATTGGCCTTGTGTATGACTCCTTTGCATTGACTGGATTGAGAATTTTCCATTCTCTCTTTTTCTCAAATGTCTGTTGCAATTTTAGGGAAACTTTTCACACTGTCCTTATTTTTACACAAAATCTGCAAAAAGAAAAATCTTTTTTTGCACATTGTATTGTTGGTGCAAATGTAATTGCGGTTTCGGACCATGGATTTTAAATGATAACTAGGCCTAAATACATCTTTATTAATCAAAATAGGAAACACTACAATCAACACATTTTTGCCAAGGAGAAATAAGTGTGTTTATTCCTGTAGCATAAAACTCCATGCTTTGGGATTCGGCAAACTCTTGAAAAGCACTTTCTGCATCCTGCTGGTTGTGGAAGAATTTTCTCTGCAAAAAGTTGTCAAGATGCTTGAAGAAATGGTAGTTGGTTGGCAAGAGGTCATGTGAATATGATGGATGAGGCAAAACTTCGTAGCCCAATTCATTCAACTTTTGAAGCGCCGGTTGTGTGATGTGCAGCCAGGCGTTGTCACGGAGAAGAACTGGGCCCTTTTTGTTGACCGACGCCGGCTGCAGGTGTTGCAGTTTTCGCTGCATCTCATCGATCTGCTGAGCATACTTCTCAGATGTGATGTTTTCGCTGGGATTCAGAAAGCTATAGTGGATCACACCGGCAGCAGCCCACCAAACAGTGACCATAACCTTTTTTTTTTTTTTTTTTTTGGTGCAAGTTTGGCTTTGGAGCTTCTCAGTCCAACAGCTGAGCTGGTTGTCAGTGGTTGTCATATAAAATCCAATTTTCGTCCCACGTCACAATCCGACTGAGAAATGGTTCATTGTTGTTGCACAGAATAAGAGAAGATGCTTCCAAACAACAATTTATTTTTGCTTGGCTCATGAGGCACCTACTTATTGAGTTTTTTCACCTTTCCGATTTGCTTCAAATGTAGAAAGACCATAGAATGGTCAATGTTGAATTCTTCAGCAACTTCTCGTGTAGTTGTAAGAGAATCAGCTTTGATTATTGTTCTTGAGTAGTCGCTGTCAACTTCCAATGGTCAGCCACTATGCTCCTCATCTTCAAGTCCCTCGTCTCCTTTGCAAAGCTTCGTGAACCACCACCGCACTGTACGTTCATTAGCAGTTCCTGGGCCAAATGCATTGTTGATATTGCAAGTTGTCTCCACTGCTTTACGACCCATTTTGAACTCGAATAAGAAAGTCACTCAAATTCGCTTTTTGTCTGACATCATTTCCATAGTCTAAAATAAACATAAACAGCAAGTAATAAGTCATTAGCAAAAACGCATAAAGCGAGAAATGCGCATTAAAATGATATATAACATAACCACATTTATTTAAGAATGTATTCCAATATCAAATGGCAAATTCCAACAGTGCAAAAACCGCAATTACTTTTGCATTCACCTATAATAAAGGTTTTCAAAGTAGTTGTTTGTTATCTCAAAGCTGGTTTAAGATATTGTAATGAAGTCAAATGTTCTGTACTGCACTTTTATACAGTTGATACAGAGAAAATCAACATTATATTTGAAACTACAGATTTAAAATGTTTCTCTGAAAATATTCAAGACGTCTAGCATGAAACTGATTCATTCAAGCAAACAGATTATAAGTGTATCTTTCAGTTTCATTAGATTTGATTACCTTGCATTCTTAATGTGCCTTACCTTTAAATTTAATTTTCTTGCGTACTGTGTTGAGCACTCATGATAGTTTTTTTTACTATGGTTAGTTTTATTTGCTTTCATTTTATTTTCTTTATAACCTATTTTTCCTCTCCTGTCCACCTGATTTTTGAATTGTCTGTATATAGCTATAGACATAGATGCTACTGGCTTAGATGCAGAAGAAAATGATATTCCAGCAAACCACCGCTCCCCTAAACCCAGTGCAAACAGTGTAACGTCACCCCACTCCAAAGAGAAAAGAATGCCCTTCTTTAAGAAGGTAACATTAACTTCCAAGCTCCCATTGTCCACCTGCTCAACTGCACTGCGTCACATTTCTAGTCCTGTTGACTGTCTGCGTCCTTTGATAAGCCAATAACGTGCATGCTCTGTTATTTGTTTCTTTTCCATGCTGCTGTAGCTAAGCAGAAGCAGAAATCGGTAAGTTTACATTGACATAAGCTGTGTTTATCCTGCCACTGGCATCATTAGCATTAATTCCCACAGTTGTATTAAATACAATCATTTCTGTCCCAAGCAAAGAACCTATCAACAGCTAATTGAGTTCATGCATTTCAAACCAACTAAATTCAGGGAGTGACCTGTTAAAACACCATTACAGTACTTATCCTTTTTGATGGAATAATATCTACCACCAAGGGAATTTGTTTCAACATTCAGGGATGTCAAACACTGACAGCTCCACATAATGCACCTAAATTGTGCATGCTTATTCTATCTCTTTCTTTTATCCAGAAATTTAACTTATGATCAAACATATTAAAGCAGTTATTAAATTCTGACTTATGATATCCAGATACATAGCTTGTACTAAAAAAAAAAGTATTCAAGTTTTAATTTAGTCAGTATTTAAACTTCTAATCCACTAGGTGCAAAATCTGCAGATGAACAAGACCAGTGGAAAACTGCAGGCTTGTTTTGGCGGTTTACTGTGAGTTTTTCCTATTGTCATATATAAATATTCTCCCGATGTTCTTGCCTTCTCCATCAGTCAGATTTTACCATCTCACCCTTTGGACAGTGCAGCCAGTGGTCATGCGTAGAGCCTTTGCCATTGGCCATCCAAGATGCTACACAGCGAGGCTCCTTGTCCCCTAAATGGAAACTATAGGGTATTCCTGAGCTCTCCTTACTTCAGACAAAGCCTTTTCCTCACCCATTTTGTAGCTTTAAAGCATTATTTTTTAAGGACCACTAACCTCCCCCCAAATTTCCCTTTTTTTCCCCTCTTTTACCCATCAGTTTCCACAGCTACCATGCTGTCTTTTAGAATCATACTAATGTCGCCAAGTCTGGCAAAACCATGGATATATTCTCACACGCAGATGTGATGTCAAATCTGTCTATCCTCTGCCCCCAAACTCTCCACATAATGAACACTTTTCCTCTGCAAACATGTATTTTGGTTTGTGGAGGAACTCAAGTCATTAATGAGGTGTCAGATACAGAACTGTAAAGTTGGCTTTTTTTGAATCAATTATGATTATTTTAATAAGGGAAAACTTCAGCACTCTGGGCAAAAATTGCAACACTTGGATTTTTGTGTTAACATAGCCTCAGCTTGATGTTCACCCACAACAGTGGGCCCATTTCTGGGGTCCGATCTTCTTGTTACAGCTAAAGCTTGCAGCCAAGTGACTAACAGTGTCTATCATTCAGAAGCTTAGAAAATCGGCATCGCTAAGACATTTGGGCCTTGACGGAGCAGGAATGTGAGCTAAAACCCTGTTTGTCAAGATAGGTTTGTGAAGTTTGCTTACCTTTAAATTCTAAAACTTTAAAAACTTTTATCACAATTTTTTCACTAAATAATTTGAGCAGGCAGGGCGCAATGGCTCACACCTGTAATCCCAGCCCTTTAGGAGGCTGAGGCAGGTGCATCACCTGTGGTCAGGAGTTTTGAGACCAGCCTGGCCAACATGGTGAAACCTCATCTCTGCTAAAAATACAAAAAATTAGCCTGGCATGGTGGCAGGCACCTGTAATCCCAGCTACTTGGGAGGCTGTGGCAGAAGAATTGCTTAAACCCGGAAGGCGGAGATTGCAGTGAGCCGAGACCATGCCACTGCACTCCGGCCTGGGCAACAGAGCTAGATAACTCTGTCTCAAAAAAAAGAAAAAAAAAATCAAGCTAAATGGGGTTAACAGGGAAGAGTAGATAAAAATGATGGCGTCATTCTTCATAGGGCACAAAGCACCAATATTCCATCAAATAAGGTAATTTCTGTAGCTACCCTATTGATTAAGAAGCTGATTGATTACCAGCAACGGGTGACCCTTTGCTAGTTGGCAGTTACAGATCGAAGGAACCAAAGACCTATCAAACACTGGGCCACTTCAGAATTAAAGTCTTGAGATAAAATTTCTTGGTAGCTGTTACTAAAATGCAGGAAATTTACATTCATAATTTCAACGGTGGAAAAGGTGTTCTTACACCGCATAGTTATCAGGACTTGGCTTCTAAACGTTTTCAGTATGATCCCAGGTGGTATAAATGAAATAGTTTAAGAAATATGCTTATGATGCCTTCGGCACTGGTATTCATTCTTCTTATGTTATTGATAATGTGGTTAACATCAATGTAGAATTCAAAAACAAAACAACAGCCTGAGATTCAATGAGAAGATCGTTTTCTATGTTTTAGGTTGCTTTTAGAGTGGTGCTTGTGTGGTACGTGTGCTGTCACTGTATTATGTTTGTCTTGTTTTTTTTTTTTCTGTTCAAAACTGTATTCTACCTTGATTGTGTCAATTAAAATTAATTCTGAATGCTAGGTGAAATTTTAGGCAGTGAAATTTGACAGCACAGTCATGGTAATATTTTTCTTCCCTCTGATTATATCGTCTGTGACTACGGGTAAAATCTCAGATGGAAGCTTTTGAATTTGAAATGCTTTTTAATTCTCCCCTGAGGCAATGTGAATTCAAATGAAGCCAGAAAAGTTTGTAATGGGCAATTTTAAGCAACAATAAAATGTTCTTGAGTGACGGGCAGATGCAAAAATGACATTCATATCTGCACATCAGTGTACTGAATTCTTAAAATCATTTACAGAACATTTTTCTGTTGGTGTGTGTGATTCTCAAGTTATATTTTTTGACACTCCTTAGCCAGAAAGATTCATATAGCAATGATTTGCTTATCGCAGTGTCTAAGGCCATATCACTCTTATGCATTTTTTTAAAAAGTCATTTTTGGGTCAATTTAGCATTTTATGCTATCAAAAGAGCCAATTTTAATATAAACCAATTTGCTGTTACCTAATTTTTGGAAAGATGTTATTTTACCATTTTATTTGAAGCAATTAACCTGAAAAGTGTTGACAGTTTTAGAAATTGCTACAAAATTTAGCTCCTCCCCTCTTATTAAAAAGAAATAATTTACTGCAGAAAGATGTCATTAGTTATCTGACAGAAAACTACTTTTGAGAATCATATTAGATATGCACATTGATAATGAACCTTTTGAGACCACAATAGCATGGTTGAATATATTATTATACATTAATCACCTTCCCTCGAAGACACATAAACCTTACCTTTGAAGTACCAAGGTATAGAAACCAAAAAATTCAATAGCATTAATCACTAAGCTGTGAGCAGGGATCATGATTACTGTTTACTAAAATAAGCATGCATGTTCATTTAAACTCTCACAATAATATAGAATTTTGACAGTAGTGAGAGTTACAATATTTTGAGATTAGGTAAAAAGTATTGGTAGTGAGAGTTATAATATTTTGAAATGAGGTTTTACACAGGTAAGACAAAAACCTAAGATGCAAAGGTAATGCAATCTTTCTTTCCTCTGTAATTAACCATGTTAGGTCTAATCACTACAACTCTTTAGAAAATTCAAATGCAGCCGAAAAGCAATATTAACTTCTAGTCAAGCCTAAAGCACCTATCTTGCATGAGGCATGTTTCTCTTTGTTCTGTCAACTAGTTTTTGTTCAAAAGCAGCATCTCTTGCTTTAGGAACGAATAGGTCTGTAGCATTTCTTGAGATGAGCAAGAAGACTGTAGACAACAGTAACTTGAAACTTCAGGAAAATGAACCCACCAATCTTTGACTGGGTTTATGTAGAAAAGAGGCAAGTGGGGAAAATAAAATGTCTGGAAAGCCAGTGCCTCATATTATGGAGTTCAGAAAGAGTACCTTATACACAAAATATTTATGTTCTACCTGCCTGTGAAACGTCTAAAAGCCTCTCCTCTCTCTGCAGACAGAGCACACTCCTCCGTATGATGTGGTACCTTCCATGCGACCAGTGGTCCTAGTGGGCCCTTCTCTGAAGGGCTACGAGGTGGGTAGCAGCCTTCCACAGGAAGCTTAACTTGCATGCTGAACTTCTTTGTGATGCTGCCTCCTACTCCCGACCCTCTCTCTGAATTTTACAGCTTAAGGAGCCAACTTTAGAGCTTAGAGAGCTCACAGCAGCAAAGCCTGTTGTTCTGCAAACTGGTATACACTGCTTCGTCCTTTTTCTGTTTTGTTTACCTGGCTGTTGCTTTGAAGATTTCTGCTAGCTGCAGTGTACTCAGTCCAGGAAATAGTGTCAAATGGAGACCGACTGAAACCACTTGCAATGTTATTTGTCACTAAAACATCATGATAAGTTCAGTTTAATTGTCATTGCATCAGAACTCAGAAGCAGAAAAATGCGGCAACCTCATATTGCCACTCTTTCCAGATGCAAAGCTCAGGTTTTCAAGCATTCCTAAGAGAAGTAAAATTGTTTTATCATCGTTAGTAATTTTTTTTGGTCATATCTTAATTTATTGCTTGCTCAATTGCAGGTCACAGATATGATGCAAAAAGCGCTGTTTGATTTTTTAAAACACAGATTTGAAGGGCGGTGAGTATTTCAGCATACTGGGTTTTGTGGATTTTGTCTTAAAGATGGCAAAACGCTGGTGGGACATGCGTGTGATTCCAAGAGAAAATGGCCCTCTGATGTCTATATGATGACAGGAAACAAGTTTCACTCAATTTAATCTGATTCAATCAATATTTATCATATTTGCTTGGTACATCTTTAACCCCTGATGTCTAGTTCCTGTACCTACATCCATAAGCTGACCTTGGGCAGGACACCACTGGCCAGTCTCACCCTCAATTCATGGTCAACTGGCCCTCTATTGCTGCCCAGGCATCGCACTAAATATCCCTCTTCCATTCACTTTTCCACTCTTCTAAAAGACTTCTGTGCCATCTCCCCCTCCTTAATCCTCTGATAACCCCTTCTCATCTCACGCTCCCCCAGTGAACTTGCTTCCGTGTCATTGAGAAAATAGAGGCAAACAGAGAACATCCAGGCATTTCTACAACCCCGCCTGTGGAGTTGCATGTTTGCCTGCATGCTCTGCTTTATCTCCAATGACTATGTTCCCAGCAAGGGCCAACCCACCATGTGGGCACTAGATCTCATTCCCCATCCCCTCTCTGCTAGAAGTATCCATACAGAGCCGTAATCATCCTTTGCTCTCTCCTCATGAGTATTTCCTGTTCTAATGGAAACTCCATCACCATGTAAAAATGTTAATTCCTATCACATTGACCTCATATTGCTCTAGGTGTCTCATTTTTTTTTCTTTTCTTTACAGGAAGATTCCTTGAAAGAATTGAGTGTACTGGCTTTCCTTCCACTTTCTTCAGCCTACCCCAGTTATGTTTTCACCCACACCACTCAGCTAAACTAGTCATGTCAAGATCACCCATGACCTTCACATTGCTAAATCCAGGGATAAATTTTCAGCCCTAATCTTACTTGACCATGAGCAGTAGTTGACATGGTGGATTATTCCATCCTCTTTGAAATACTTTGCTTGGTTTCTGGAACCACACTTTTCTGGTTTTCCTTCTATCACACTGACTGCTCCTTTGTCTCCTTTGCTGATACTTCCTCATCAACTGGAAATCTTGGACAGCCCAGGGCTAAGCTCTATGATGTCTTTTACCTACATTTCTTTAGTGATTTCATTCAGCATCAGATTTTTAAATTCCATTCCTTTGCCAGTCTTTCCTCTAAATTCTAGACCCATGTATACAATTGCCTATTCATTATCACTACTAAGATGTCTAATGGACTTTTCAAATGTAACCTCCCCCAAAACTTACTCCTCCCATGGTCTTCCCTATCTCAATTAATAGCTTCTTCGTCTTTCAGTCCCGAGACCCTTCAGCCCAGATCATTTTCCTTGACTGTTCTTTCTCTCTTATATTTCACATGCAAATGCTGTTGTCTTTATCTTCAAAATATATTCAGAATCGAAGCCCTTCTCACACATCCTCTGCCACCATTTTGGTCTGAGACATCTTCATCTCTTCCCTGGATTGGTGCAACAGCCTCCCACCTTGTCTCCTTGCTTCTGTGGTTGTTCCCTTAAAGCCTGTGCTCAGGTTAGCTGCTGCATGACCCTGTTAAGATGTGAGCTAGTGCCCACCACTCCTTTACTCAAAACCATCCAGTGACTTCTTTTTTTCCTCTGAATGGAAACCAAAGTCCTACAGTGGCCTACATGACCTCCTATGGTCTATTCTTCCACACGTCCTTACCTAGATTTTCTCTTGCTGCTCTTCCCTCGCTCATTCTCACCCTGCCGTACTTACTCCCTTGCTGTTCTTTGAGTGTTCCAGACAGATTACACAATCACCTCAGGGCTTTGGCACTTTGCAGTTCCTTCTGCTAGGAACACTTTTCCCTCAGATATTCTCCTTGGTATACGTGTGTACATGTATGCACACATACACATGCACACATTTGTTCTGTGTCTCTCCTTTCCCTCTGTTTTCTAGTGCTCTTTTATGTATTTCCAGTACTATTTTTGTTTATTGTCATTCTCCCATAATTAGACGATAAACTCCATGAGGGCAGGGTTTGAGAATGTTTTGTGAACTGTTGTATTCTCAGTGCCTGGAGCAGTACTCAACATGAGCAGTGGCCAGATGAATTTTGAATGAACGTCTGCTGCATACTCTCTGCTAGAGAAATGCGGAGATGGTGAAGCCAGTCTCTGCCTATGAACAGCTCTCATGGAAACCATAAATTGAAACCTGTAGCAGTAACACTGCATATAAGTAAAAGGGCAACTTGGTTATATGCATGCACAAGGTGCAGGTAGCATAAAGGGAGGCGTAATTAACACCAACTTCAGGACATCCACACCTGGAAGAATTTTTAAATGGTGCCTAACGTTTGACCAAATGGATTACAGGGAAGAGAAGGGTATGTTCAGCAGATGGTATATAGTGTGTGAAGGCTTTGAGGTATGACACAGCATTATGTGTAAGGCAACTCACACCCACATCTTAAAGGACATGGGCAAGGAGTGACTGGTAACAAATCCAAGGGTCATATCTAGTGTGTCACGCCAATGGGCTTGGACTTAATCCTTTCTTTCTCCTCCTCTTCCCCCGGTCACTATTCAACTTGCCTCAGTAAGTATTTATTGAGTATATTCTATGTGCCAGGCATTGTGAGGAGCAAAAATAGACAAGGGCCTTGGCTTTGTGGGGCTTAAAGTCTATTGAAAGGCAGTCTTGAATCAAATAATTAATGGGTGCCATCATTGAATGTTAAGCCAGCTCCTGAAGCATCAAAGACATGACTAGAGTCCAAAATGGAAACCTCAGAGTTTAAGAGTAGGTTATTACAGGGGACCTGGAAGATACAGGGCTAGTGTATATTTCTGTATTTTTAACCAGATAAATGCAGTGCTTCTCTTCTCCACATTCCTTTCCTCCTCCCATCCTAACAATGCAACTACAATAGATCAGGAGTCCCAAATCCCCGGGTCACAGATCAGTACTGGTCCATGGCCTGCTAGGGGCCACACAGCAGACGGTGAGTGGCAGGGGAGTGTGCAAAGCTTCATCTGTATTTACAGTCACTCCTCATCACTCACACATTATTGCCTGAGCTCAGCCTCTTGTCAGATCAGCAGCGGCATTAGATTCTCATAGGAGCACAAACTCTACTGTGAACTCTGCATGCGAGGGATCTAGGTTACATGCTCCTTAGGACAGTCTAATGCCTGGTGTTCTTTCACTGTCTCCCATCAACCCCATAAAGGACCATCTAGTTGCAGGAAAACAAGCTCAGGGATCCCACTGATTCTACATTATGGTGAGTTGTATAATCACTTCATTATATATTCCAGTGTAATAATAATAGAAAGAAAGTACACAATAAATGTAATGTGCCTGAATCATCTCAAAACCATCTCCCCACTCCTACCAAACCGGTCCACGGAAAAGTTGTCTTTAATGAAACTGGTCCCTGGTGCCAAAAAGGTTGGGGACTGCTGCAATAGATAGTATTTGTTGGTTTCAGGATTCTTTTAGATTTCTTACTATAGTACTTTCTTTCTAGACCACACCTACTACTACAACCATTTCTAATTTATATTGACTTTTGGCAGGGGAGGCAAGGGTAGGAAGGAAAGTTTTATAGGAGGACAAGTCTTTTTAGTAAGTGATCAAGCAGGCTGGGCTTGGTGGCTCCTGCCTGTAATCCCAGCACTTTGGGAGGCCGAGGCGGGTGGATAATGAGGTCAAGTGTTCGAGACCGGCTTCGCCAACATGGTGAAACCTCGTCTCTACTAAAGATAAGAAAATTAGCTGGGCATGTTGGCGGGTGCCTGCAGTCCCAGCTACTCGAAAAGCTGAGGCAGGAGAATTGCTTGAACCCGGGAGGCAGACGTTGCAGTGAGCCGAGATCGTGCCACTGCCCTCCAGCCTGGGAAACAGAGTGAGACTCTGTCTCAAAAAAAAAAAAAAAAAAAAAAAAAAAAAAAAAAAAGTGATCAGGCAAAGAACTGAAAGGAGAGAGAATGAGGAAAACAAAAACTATTATAAGTTTCAAGGTATGAAAAGACTTTATAATCAAGGTCTTCTAACCAAATATTCCTAATTAGATTTTTTTAATTTTCCATATCTTTAAGAAATATTTTTCAGTTTGTGACAGGAAATAGACCCTTTAGCTTGGACCAAGGCTACTAGGCACTGGCCAAGTATAAAAGGCATAGCTCTACTCTGCTCCATTTAGCTTGTTTCTTTATCCTTGGCTCTGTCATTTATCACAATTTGGAATTGTCAACATGAGCCTGAACACTAAAAAAAATTCTGCTAACAAAGGCACTGTGTTTTCCATGCCTGAGTCAACCCACTGCCCTTTCCTAAATGCCAAAGATGGGGAAATGGGATGGAATTTCCTGGATTACTACTTGTACTTAAACCTGAGTAAGTTTTGAATTTGGAAGACACATTCCAGCCAGAGAGGGTGGATTTTGGACCCATGTTCGAGTGTATCAGCCACCCAGATTGGTTTTATTTAAGAAACAGATAAACAAAATATCTTAAAGTATCTGTTATTTCTAGCCAGAAGTAACTTTCATATGGTTTAATTAATAGACCTGCCTTGGCTCATCTTGACTTACAGAGCTGGGGTTCTATATTCTAGCCCTGTTCTCCCCAGTTAACAGTCCTCAGAGGAAGAAACGAGTCCATAAGGCAGAATTTAAAAGCTGTGTACAAATTTAACATTTTTACCCATGGCAAGACATCTAGAGTAACTGAATTATTGACTGTCTTTGCTTTTGGCAAGGCAAGACAGCAATAGAGGATGGAAATTCAACAAAAGTATCAGGTGTGTATATACATATGACATTCTAAAAGGGAAAAATGAATTATTCCTTAATCATCTATTAAATAAGCTAAGTTTATTTTTTAAAAACGTTTAAGCCCAAGAGGAGAAAATATGAAAGGAAATGTTAGTTATGCGAAAGGTTCTAGGTAGTCAAGAATTCCTTTTTCTTTTCTGAAACCCACTTAAATTCATTTGCAGCAGCCCTAGGGGGTTGTCAGAATCACATTCTGGTTAAGTAGTGTCAGTGTGTCAGATCAAAGAAGAAATAAATCATCCTCCTCCTCCTCCTGTTGTGTGCAATAAAGTAGCCCATTCAAAACTGGATTCACAGTAACCAACTGTGTCATGTAAACAAAGCAATCTTCAGATTCACCTTGTAGGATGGTGACAGGTAAATTAACAAGGAAGTTGAGAACAAGAAGGAAAGCTACCTGGGATAAATTCACGGTTTTTTTTTTTTGTTTTTTTGTTTTGTTTTGTTTCCTTCAGTGACTTTCAAAACGTCAGCAATCAGCCCTGAAGTGTTTGGAATGCATACTGAATTGCTACAGGGATAAATATACCATTGCCAGAATCTTCTGTAGGACAGTCTTACTAGAAATCAGTAATCCTGAGGCTGAGCACAGTGGCTGTCACCTGTAATCCCAGCACTTTGGGAGGCTGAGGCAGGCAGATCACTTGAGGCCAGGAGTTTGAGACCAGCCTGGCCAACATGGTGATACCTGTTTCTACTAAAAGTACAAAAATTAGCTGGGCACAATGGTGGGCACCTGTAATCCCAGCTACTCAGGAGGCTGAGGCAGGAGAAGCGCCTGAACCCAGGAGGCGGAGATTGCAGTAAGCCAAGATCACACCATTGCATTCTAGCCTGGGTGACAGAGCAAGACTCTATCTTAAAAAAAAAAAAAAAAAAAAATTGAGCAAATAAAAAGTTGTTTATCTCATGGAAACCACGAGGAAAATACACAAGAAAAAGTATAGTAGGCTGGGTGCAGCAGTTCACACCTGTAATCCCAGCACTTTAGGAGGCTAAGGGAGGAGGACTGCTTGAGCTCAGAAGTTTCAGACCAGCCTGGGCAACATAATGAGGCCCTGTTTCTACTAAAAAAAAAAAAAAAAAATTAGCTAGGTGTGGTGGCATGCACCTGTAGTCCCAGCTACTTGGGAGGCTGAGCCAGGGGGATCACTTGAGCCTGGGAGGTTGAGGCTGCAGTGAGCTATGATTACTACACCCTTGCACTCCAGCCTGGGTGACAGTGAGATGCTGTCTAAAAAAAAAAAAAAAAAAAACACATTATATGACATAGTTCATTGACTATTATTTACATAGTTTCAATAAATATTAAATATGGAGCCAGCCAAAATTAATTTGTCTATTTGAATCCCTCTGGGACATTCTAGCCTGTTGCAGTGTAGATCTTTCTTTCTGTGCTGGGTGTCATTCTGGAACATTCCGTGTTATATGCTTGGGGATTCCTTTCACCTTTGTTTTGGGTTGAAGCTCCTGTTTCCCAGATCCCTTGATTTCTTTCAAGCTTTACTGTCATTTTAGTCAAAAACCTTCTCATTTCCCTAGGAAGGGTATATACATGTTTTTTTCAATAGCCTGAATGTTTACAAACCTTTCTGTTTAATTGCTAGTTTAAATGCTTATGGAATTCTGATTGAAATAGTTTTCCCTCCAAATTTTGAAGGCTTTTTGCTTCATTACCTTGTGGCTTCCATTGTTGCTTTGAGAAGTACAAAGCATTCTAGTGCTTTGATTCTAGACCCTTTGGGACCTGTCTTTTTCCTCTGAAAGCTTATGGGTTTCTCTTTGTCCCCAGTGTTATGAAATTCATAAAAATATGTCTTGGTGTGGGTATTTCAACCCGTGTGCCGGACCCTTTCAATTCAGAAAATCAGATCCTTAATTCTGGAATTAATTCTTTATTTTCTTTCCTCTGTCTTCTTTATTATCTTTTTCTGAACTCCTGTAATTTGGAATTTGAACCTCTTGGGTTATGTCTACTTTTCTTACTTTTCTTCTCCTATCTTCCAACTCTTTTTTGTTTTACCCTTTGGAAATGTTACATTTCTTTTAACCTTTCTTTTGCTTTTTTTCTATTTCTATTATCATGTTACTTCCAAAAGCTCTTATTCTAAGTCTTTAAATAGAAATTTGTTCTAGTCTCATAGATAAAACCATCTTTTAGCTTTTAACTGTGAATAATTGTCATAATTGATTTTTCTGTTTGTTTTGCTCTCTCATGAGGTTTTCTGAAGATGCCTGACAAACTGTCCTGTGCTCAAATTTTAAAATAAGGCATAAAATAATTAATCAGAGGTTCTGTGCTCATAGGCGGAGCTTGTCAACTTTGTGTTTCTGTGTATGGCAATCTTGCTAGATAATTTACACAGGAAACCTCCAATATCATTATCTTTGGGTCCTTACAATTTGGCAGTCAGATTCCCCAGAGAAGAATCTTCCATTCTGACCCCTGGGGATATAAATATAAGCCTGGCTACCAAAACTGTACAATGAGAAGAAAGGCTGAAGACTCAACATTCAGAATCCTTTCTTTTCCATCCAGTATTCCCTGCTCCTGTTCTGTCTAGGGTCCCCTGGTCAGAGGCCCTCTTGTATTGCCTGCAAGATAACAAATGTAGGGTCTTGTACCACACAGGAAAAGAACTGTCACCTGGCTATTTGATATTGTGAGGGGGCAGTGGAGGGCTGTAACTGAAACAGACTTTTGAACCAAACTTTTCCTTTTCGCCCTAACTTCATTCTCTACCTTCTTTAGAAATATTGTGAGCCTTCAATTTTGCTTCACAGCTTTTTCCTACTGCTGACTTGAATATTCAGCTTTCTGCAGTCTAAGTCATTTGCTATTTCCAGTTCCCAAATTTTGTTGCTCTCATTTCTACCTTATCTAAAATGATACTCCCAATTCAATATTGTCTCTCATAATACCCTGTATGTTCTTTCCACAACAATCATCATCTTTAATTATTTTCCTTTATTATTTATCTCTGCCACTAGACCATTAGCTATCTGAGGGAAGACTGGTTCTTATTTATTTTTCATGCCTATCACAGCAATGAACTATGGCACAGAGACTAGGAATATAGGGTCAGGAGTCTGGGTTCAAATCCCAGCTCTCCCACTTAGTTACATACATACCCTTGGATAAAAAATCTCTCTGTGAGTCTCATTTTTCATCAGCAACAGTGGGATAATAGTAAACGTTTCTCCTAGAGCTTTTTGGATCATTTAGTAATTCAAATAAAGTGCTCAGTACTTATCTGACACTTGTAAGCAACAAGTAAGTGCAACGTAAGGCAGGTGCAGGATAGGGCCGGGCGCGGTGGCTCACACCTATAATCCCAGCACTTTGGAAGGCCGAGGGAGGCGGATCACTTGAGGCCAGGAATTCAAGACCAGCTTCCATAGTGAAACCCCCTCTGTACTGAAAATACAAAAATTAGCCGGGTGTGGTGGCACACACCTGTAGTCCCAGCTACTCCAGAGGCTGAGGCAGGAGAATCACTTGAACCTGAAAGGTGGAGATTGCAGTGAGCCGAGAACGCACCACTGCATTGCAGCCTGGGCAGCCTGGGCGAGACTCTGTCTCAAAACAAACAAAAAACAAAGTAAGGCAGGTGCAAGATAAAAATGAATAAGTAAAAAGAAAAAAAATGAATAAGTAAGTATCCTAACACATATGGTTTGAAAATATGGTTGCTATATATATTTCATACTTAGATGAATTTGGGGCATACACTTCTATCCCCTTTGATTAGACCAATAACCTTAAGGTCTTCTGTGACTTTTTCCTCCAACAGGATATCCATCACAAGGGTCACCGCTGACATCTCGCTTGCCAAACGCTCGGTATTAAACAATCCCAGTAAGCACGCAATAATAGAAAGATCCAACACAAGGTCAAGCTTAGGTAAGTCTGTGCAATGAGCTTAAGCTTTTTAAACTCTCCTCTCCCGATGTTGATGATGAGAAGACCTAACAAGATGATAATTCCATGTGTCACAGAGTATAGAAAAAACAGGTGTGTGCTGCCAGTCGCTGTTGCTATGGTCTTACTGATTTCATGGTGTGGAAGGATTTGTTATGATAGTTTCAAGTTAAGAATTCCACAGGCTGTCAGCATTAATGTTTTGGTTGTGGTTTGTTTTCACTAACATGAGCTTTGGTGTCTGCAGACTCTAAGATCTCCTGGCTTTGCATCAGTGTTACCATGAGCAAGTTTATTAACCTTTTGAAGCCTCCATTTCCTCATCCTAAAAAAGAAATAAAATAACTACCTCATAGAATCATTGCAAGGATTAAACATGATATGTGCTCAATAAATGATATCCATTATTATCCTAAATATTCCTTAATTCCAGTTATATATCAATAATGAAATCATTCTCAGGAGAGTGTAATTTGTGGGTGTGGAAATTAGTAAAAGATGAAGTCAATTCCTGGCTATATTTATTGATAGATATCAATATGTTTGTTTTATTTGTAAAAACAGTGTAGGGAGTTATTGTGTTTACAGAGATGGTATGTGGATACTGCTTATTAACGTATACTGAATTGATCACACTGAGACCCTTCAGCTGCTATTTAATCTTTTTGGTATGTGCTTGGAGTTTTAGGTTAATCACTGTTACACATGTTGCTTACTGGATGGTTAGGTTTCTGTTTTTATAAAGTAAACTTTCTGAGAGTTGTGTCAGATCTTTGAGCTTAATTTTTCTCTGTTTATAGGTTAGATATACAAATCCTCTGAGAGGCTGGTTTCTAACATAGAAGTTCTTCGTTTACTCTGAAGTATGATTATATAAATAACAGAAAAACTATTATAAATAATAAGCTTTATATGTTAGCAATGAGCATGATACATTATAGAACTCAGTTTTGTTTCTCACCTAACAACCCTTCGTTGGCAAAACTTCAGTAACAGGTTTAGAAATATATTTGAGGAAAAAATGTAATCATGTGTTTTGCTTATAGCAATTCCTTTTTATGTCCTTATCATCTGTCACAGTTAAAACTCTTTCCACACATCATTTGATGCTCACAAGAATTACTTTTTATTTTGACTTTTTTGAGAGAGGGTCGCACTCTGTTACCCAGGCTGGAGTACAGTGGTGTGGATCATGGCTCACTGCACCTTGACCTCATGGGCTCAATCAAACCTCCCACCTCAGCCTCCTGAGTATCTGGGACTACAGGCACATGCCACTACATTGGGCTAATTTTTTGTAGAGAGGGAGTCTCACTATGTTGCCCACGCTGGTCTCCAATTCCCAGGCTTGGGCAATCCTGCCTTGGCCTCCTGAAGTGCCAGGACTATAGGTATGAGCCACTGTGCCTGGCCAAGAATTATTATAAAATGCTTATTTCATAAATTAAACTGAATTAACAAAGTCAAGTAATTTTTTAGACTCATCAGTGGAATCAATTACATAACAGATTTCCTTAGATTGCCAAGATTTTTTTTACAACTACTGATTATACATTGTTTTTAAATGAATTTTCCAGTCTATGTATTTCATTGAGCATACACTAGATACCAAATATCATGTGGAAGCCCATGAATAAAAAAAGAAACTGATGAAGCCCCTTCCCTCAAGGAGCTGGGTGTAGCCATAAGGCGAATCAGTGAAGAGCCCTTTGAGATAGAGGGTGATGAGCAAAGTGGTCGAGCCATGAACTGGCTGCCAAAGAGCTGTTGCTGCAGGAGGCACAGGGAAAGGCTTTTCCAGGGAGCTGATCCTGAGCTGAGACTTGAAGATGACAGGATTTAGCCAAGAAAAAAGGGAAAGGAGTGGAGAGGGTGACAGTGATTCGAGACAGTGAAAGCCACAACAGGCTTCTGAAAAACATAGGTGCTTCATTTAAGCTAAAATATATTGTTTTAAAAAGAAGGACATGGGAGATGACATGACAGAGAGAGGCAGGCATAAGACATGAAAAGGTTGGAGCTTATTTCTATTAGTCTGTTCTCAGGAAAAAATGTGATCATGTGTTTCGCTTATAGCAATTTCTTTTTTATGTCCTTATCTATCACACTTAAAACTCTTTCCACACATCATTTGACGCTCACAAGAATTACTGCTAATAAAGACATACCCAAGACTGGGTAAAGTAAAGAGGTTTAATGGAATCACAGTTCCACATGGCTAGTGAGGCCTCACAATCATGGTAGACAGTGAAGGAGGAGCAAAGTCACATCTTACATGGCAGCAGGCAAGAGAGAGCATGTGCAGGGGAACTCCCCTTTATGAAACCATTAGATCTCATGAGACTCATTCACTATCAGGAGAACTACATGGGAAAGACCAAGTCCCATGATTCAATTACCCCCCACCAGGTCCCTCCTGTGACACATGGGAATTATGGGAGCTACAATTCAAGATGAGATTTCGGTGGGCACAGCCAAACCATGTCATTATTCTTAAGGTGGTAGGAGACCATGTACAGACTGGAGGCATTCATTCATTTAGCAAATACTTGAATACCAACCATGTGCCAGCCATTATTTTGGTGCCCAGGGACACAAAAGTGAAGGACACAAAGTCCTCTTTCTCATAGTGTTTGTTTTACAGGAAGACATGGACAAAATCTTGTATATATAGACAGACAGAGATGGCTGGTCAGTGGTTGAGAATTCTAAAAGCAGCAGCAGACCAAGGAATAAAGAGTGAGCCAAGGAGGAGGCTGTAATATTATTATAATAAAATGCAAGAAGTACAAAAATGCAAAAAAAAAAAAAAAATGCAGTTGGGCAAACCAACTGCATCTAACACCAAACCCATTTTATAATAAAGTGTAGAGTATATCATGTAATGTATTGAATACTAAAAGTGAAAAACAGAATGGTTGTATGGGGACTCAAAGTTCGGTTCCCACTGTACATATATTGCTTTCACACTCTTATAAAGTTGAAAAATCTTTAAGTCAAACCATCGTAAGTCATGGACTGTCTGCACTTAGTGTAGGCCAAGTACTGCAGTAACTATAACGGAAGCTTTGCATGTGGATTAATTTAGTCCTCATTTCCGTAATACAGATTAGAATACTTAGGTTCTAAGAGGTTCAATATGTTACCCACTGGCCATAAAGCTCTATGAAGCGATGACGCTTCACTTCTGCCCCCCAAGCCACTTTGATATGTGGCAGTGGGAACAGAGAGGCAGAATTTACTGAGCCTGGGGAGAAAGGTAGTTAGAGAAGGCTTATACAGATTCTTTTTGCAAGATAAGGCAGGCACTGGTCAAAATTAAGAGTTTTGTGTGTAGTAATTATGAAAATGGCATTGGAATTACACATATGGCATTAAATAACTCATACTAGAGCTACCTCCAGGTCTTATTAATTCCTAACTGACCACTTAGGTGTCCCTCAACACTAGCCGCAATGAAAGTAACCATCTCTACTCTGTTATTACAGTATTTTTTGTTTGATTACAGAAACCTCCTTCTAAATAAGTTAACTTCTGTTTTTTGTTTTTTAACTTTTAAGTTCCTATCACCCAGGTATTAAGACTAGTACTCACCAGTTATTTTTTCCTGATTCTCTTCTTCCTCCCACCCTGATAGGCCCCAGTGTGTGTGTCATTAACCCTCTATGTACCTTGTTTTCTTTATCCACTCCATCACTGATGGGCCTTTAGGTTGATTCCACATCTTTGCTATTGTGAATAGTGCTGCAGTGAACATATACATGCGTGTATCTTTATAATAGAATGATTTATATTTCTTTGGGTATATAGCCAGTAGTGGGATTGCTGGGTCAAATGGTATTCCTATCTTTATGTCTTTGAGGAATTACCATACTGTCTTCCACAATGGTTTAACTAATTTACACTCCCATCAACAGTGTATAAGCGTTCCTTTTTCTCCATAACCTCAACAGCATCTGTTATTTTTTGACTTTTTAATAACAGCCATTCTAACTGGTGGGAGATGGTATCCCATTGTGGTTTGATTTGCATTTCTCTAATGATCAGTGTTGTAGCTTCTCTTCTTTATCTAAGAGGAAACATTGTTCCTGTTGTTGTTTATAGATATTAGAGATATAAAGCATAGAAAGGTGTTCATTTTTCAGTTTAATTCAGTGGGTATAAGAAACTGTGGGATGTGGGGAGATGAGGAAGGCTTGCCCCGTCTTCAAGATGCTGAGCTGCATTCTTTCATTAGCTAGGACAACTGGAAAGAATCAAATTGACTTTCAGTTTCAGAAACGAACATTGGGGAAGTTTCTGACATTTCTTTATTAGAGTAAATTCTGAGCATGATATACTCTGTCAAAGGAAAATTCCTAGCATGGATACATCCATTTTTAAAAGCATCATTTTTACTTTGAAGTCAAAAGTATTATCAGAATTTGTCATCGATTCTTAAGGTTGTATCTACTAATACAGTGTTGCACCAGGATTCTGAAAGTCCACTTTAAAATATTTTAAAACTCTTTCCCTTTAATTAACGGAGTGTAAAGTATGTATGTAAGGCTACCACAAATATCTTTATATATGTGTATATATTAAAACATGTTAATATATTGACATAATATAAATAATATCCATATATGTAATATATTTTAAGGCTATCCAGGTTTTATACAATCAGCACATATTAGGGCTGGGCGCAGTGGCTCACGCCTGTAATGCCAGCACTTTGGGAGGCTAAGGCGGGAGATCACTTGAGGTCAGGAGTTTGAGACCAGCCTTGCCAACATGGTGAAACGCCATCTCTACTAAAAGTACAAAACATTAGCTGGGCCTGGTGGCACATGCCGGTAATTCCAGCTATGTGGGAGGCTGAGGCGAGAGAATCACTTGAACTGAGGAGGTGGAGGAGATTGTGGTGAGCCGAGACTGCACCACTGCACTCCAGCCTGGGAGACAGAGAGAGACTCTGTCTCAAAAAAAAAAAAAAAAAAAACAAAACAAAAAAACAAACAAACAAAAAAAACAAAAAAACCCACATATTAAACTTGTACTACTCAAACCTTTAAAAGCAAGGAGTTACACGGGATGCTGTGACTGTCTGAACACTTAACAGATGAAACAAAGATGAAAATCTTTGTGATCAGATTTCTTAATGCTTACAGTAAATATTAATTTAGGTTGTAACTTGACTGGGATTCAGTGGCCCAATGTTATTTTAAAGCTAGTATCTCATGTAGTTTGGGCCCTGATTTTTTAAAGATATCTAGGTAAAAAAAAAAGGACTCAAGTCATAACATATTGTGAGGCAGATGGATTAGTGACCAGAGAGTTACCTTTTCTTCAATAAGGTACTAGTTAAAATTATCTCCAGGAAGCTTCTGGCAAGAATCCAACGGCCTAAGAGGAATTAAAAGGTAATTGTAAATCCACATTTGCTAGCATAAAAGTCTCATGGAATTCAACCTCCACGACTGCAGTGGGAAGTGAAAGCTATGTACTATGCTTTATAGACCTATGCTGCCTAGTAATAGTAGCTTCTGCCTATTTATTAAATTTTAAAAATTTACACGCCTGTTCAAGTGCTCAGTAGCCCATTAGCTGCTGCCACGCTGGACCACATACAGAGAATATTTCCCTCATTGCAGAAAATTCGGTCAGACAGTCCGGTTTTTGAGTCTTTGGAGATCACAGAACAGATGAACTGAATGCCATTTTCTCGGAGTTCAACTAGATATTCTAATGTTTTGTGATAAGTTTCTATAAATTTTATACTTTAGATTTCTGTAGTGCTGCCTCTGAAAACTGCCCTTTTAAAACATGACTACTTTGGTTGGAAAATATGAGGTGTGTTTTTGGATAAGTTTCTTTCTGGTGCCATTCACGTCTTTGCTGTTTTATTTTGTATTTCATCTTGTTAATAAACATCTAGACGGCATACAGGTGACATGTAAACATAGATCAGCCCGTGCACTGAAAGGAAAACCTGTCATGGTTGCTAATGCAAAGTGGTCTGCAATGAACACACGGAAGATATGTCAAGGTTCTTATTTTACAGCAGTTTTATGAAATGATTTCATAGACTGCAAGCACAAAGAATGTCAGCAGAGAGCTAAAAATTTCCACAATCCAAGTATTATACTAAAAGTAAATTCTGTAGCCGGTTGACAGAAAAATTCCTTAAATCCTAATGATGTGTGGAGAAACAGCCCTTTCCAAAAGGATAAATTACTGTTGTAAATTTTTATCAATTCTATTGCCTGTAAGCATTAACATAATGGCTGACCTACTCACCTTTCTGTTGAAGAAACAGTATACCATTTTACTTTATCTTAAAAATACTGCACTTTAACTGAATTGTTTCGCCCTTTACAGCGGAAGTTCAGAGTGAAATCGAAAGGATTTTTGAACTTGCAAGAACATTGCAGTTGGTGGTCCTTGACGCGGATACAATTAATCATCCAGCTCAACTCAGTAAAACCTCCTTGGCCCCTATTATAGTATATGTAAAGATTTCTTCTCCTAAGGTAAGTAGGACTGCTACTGTTTGCTCTATAATCAAACTTTCCTAAAATGTATTTTATGTTCTGCTTTCTATAATTAGGCTATTGTAATAGCCTTTATGATGTATAGAGAATTTGAGGAGACATGATAGTCAAGAATTTTTAAATTGATATAGTTTCATGGCTTAGAACAGCTGTTCTCAAAGTGTGGTCCATGGATCCCTGGAGAGTGTTGAGACACTTTTAGAGGGTCCATTTAGTCAAAACTACTTCCATGATAATACTAAGACATTATTTGCCATTTTCACTGTTTTGATATTTGCATGGCTGATGCAAAAGCAATGGTGGGTAAAACTGCTGGCGTCTAAACATAAATCAAGACTGTGGTATCAAAGTACCAGCAGTTACTGTATTCACCGCCACCATGCTTTCGCAGTTTGAGGGGAAAAAAAGCCAATTTCACTTAATGTCCTTATAAAGTAGTAAAGTTTATTACTTTTATTAAATCTTGACTTTTAATATTCAGTGTACTAAAACAAAGTACACACAAAGCTCCTGCTGTATACCAAAAAGTAAGGACAAGCACTGGTTTGATTGAGTTGTGAACTAAACTAGCCATGTTTTTCATAGAATACCATTTTTATCTCAAACAACAACTGACAGGCTATGCTTATTCCGACTTGGTGTAGCAGATATTTTCTTGGACAAAATAAGCCTGTCACTTAAAGGAGAACAGCATGTGTTGCCAATGATAAAACTCAAGCTTTCAGACAACAATCAGAATTTTAGAAAACTTGTATGCATCTCTGAGAACTTGCAAGCTTCCCAATAAAGTTTTCTCTGAGATCAATGGTAATATTAATGAATATGATGTTTTAATAATGTATAATGAAATATGTCAACATTTGGAAGATCTGAAGTCAGTGAACCATTATTGTTTGTATGATCAATGAATAACATTAATTTTCAAGACAGACCAATGGAATGTCATGGAGTAAGAAAATTGCACTGCAGGTTCAGATTCCACATAACAAATAGTCTTTAAGGAACCACCATTTGTTGAGTTTTAGTGTAGTATCAAAGAAGACTATACTAAATTGTTTCTCCTTTTCTCAATTACAAATCTGTAGGAGGTTGGATTTTCTTCACGTATTTCAACCAAAACATGACATTGCAGCAGGTTGACTGTAGAAGCAAACAGGAGACTGCAATTGTCTTCTATGAAGCCAGCCAGCCAGCCATTAGAGAGATGTGTAAAAATGTAGCTATTTTTATTAAAAAAAATTCGGCCGGGCGCAGTGGCTCATACCTGTAATCCCAGCACTCTACTAGGCTGAGGTGGGAGGATCATGAGGTCAGGAGATCGAGACCATCCTGGCTAACACAGTGAAACCCCGTCTCTACTAAAAATACAAAAAAATTAGCCGGGCGTGGTGGCGGGTGCCTGTAGTCCTAGCTACTTGGGAGGCTGAGGCAGGAGAATGGTGTGAACCTGGGAGGTGGAGCTTGCAGTGAGCCGAGATCGCACCACTGCACTCCAGCCTGGGCAACAGAGCGAGACTACATCTCAAAAATATATATATATATATTTTAACATGTATCAGATTTATTGTGAATTTTTAAATAAATGTTTTAATAGTTTTCCATTTTAGCTTCTTTAAAGAGGTTGTGAGATAAAATGTTTGAGAGCTGCTAGCATAGAAAAAATGTGAGTGCTTAAAGCTTGCAACTGTGATTTATGTTAACATGTTAATTTTGCAGATAATCTTATAGCTCCATCTATTATAAGCCCCTTGTGCTGTATATAAAAAGGCCCCAGAGAAAGGAGTCAATAATGTACCTTGTACTTTACCTGGATGTAGTTATTACTCTGTTAAAAACTCATTATCTTTTACAGGTTTTACAAAGGTTAATAAAATCTCGAGGGAAATCTCAAGCTAAACACCTCAACGTCCAGATGGTAGCAGCTGATAAACTGGCTCAGTGTCCTCCAGTAAGTTATCTCTATATACAGCATAATCCAGTTACAGAGATCAGACCTTTTTTTTTTTTTTTTTTTTTTTTTTTTTTGGGGGACAAGGTCTTGCTCTGTTGCCCATGTTGGGAGTGCAGTGGTATGGTCTTAGCTCACTGCAGCCCTGAACTCCCGGGCTCAAGTGATCCTATTGCTTCAGCCTTCCAAGCAGCTGAGACTATAGGTGCATGCCACCATGATCGGCTAACTTTTTTTTTTCCCCCTGTAGAGACGGGGTCTTGCTATGTTGCCCAGGCTGGTCTAGAACTCCTGGCCTGAAGTGATCCTCCTGCCTTGGTCTTCCAAAGTGCTAGGATTACAAGCATGAGCTGCCATGCCTGGCCAGAACTGGCATTATATTTTGAAAAAAACAGTCAAACACCTGTCAGGGAAGAGAATCCTCATCACTTACAGTGGTATTCATTCCAAAGTAAACTGTCCTCCCTCCTTCCATGATCATGTGTTTTGAGCACAAGTAATCCAAACGATGATCATAGCTTACCAAAAGCTTCCGTACATCCTGCAGTAACTTCACTTTGTTAATATCCAACACAAGATCCTGGTTCCGAAAATTTGGCTTGTATGATGAGTCTATTTGGAGTTGGTATATTATTCATTTCTGATCATAGGGATCAAGTTGTCTGCTCTTAATAACTGTCTGAGACATTTATTTTC
Source organism: Homo sapiens (assembly GCF_000001405.40). Classification (NCBI taxonomy): domain Eukaryota; kingdom Metazoa; phylum Chordata; class Mammalia; order Primates; family Hominidae; genus Homo; species Homo sapiens. The sequence continues at coordinate 18,536,893 of NC_000010.11, forward strand.
ACATGGTCTCAAATCAATTTCTAAGTAATAAGTTACCTAGATTCTCACTTGTCGTCTATGCTTTACATGCAATGCCTTGAGGTATTAGAGCTTTCCTAGGTTTAGTTTTGGAGGCAGGGTCTTGCTTTGTTGCCCAGGCAGGAGTGCAGTGGTGGTGTCTCAGCTCACTATTGCAACCTCTGCCTCCCGGGCTCAAGTAATCCTCCCACCTCGGCCCTCCAAGTAGCTAGGACTACAGGCAAACGCCACCATGCCCTGCTAATTTTTGTATTCTTAGTAGAGACGGGGCTTTGCCATGTTGCCCAGGCTGGTCTCAAACTCCCGACCTCAAGTGATCCATCCACCTTGGCCTCCCAAAGTGCTGGGATTACAGGCATGAGCCACTGCACCAGGCTTTTTTTTCTTTTTAAGCATAGCCATTTCAGGGTCTATAAATATTTGATTGCTTAATATATGTTAAAATTTATAATAAACACTAAAAAATCTTTTGAAAAGTGGCATTATTTTCTTCTCTACTGAACTACTGTGAAGTTTGGACAATGTCAAAATTTCACATCCTAATCTTACCTTATTAATTTCTAAATTCAGATTTCATAATCTTGGGCCGGGCATGGTGGCTCATACCTGTAATCCCAGCACTTTGGGAGGCCGAGGCGGGTGAATCACTTGAGGCCAGGAGTTCAACACCAGCCTGGCCAACATGGCAAAACCCCATCTCTACTAAAAATACAAAAATTAGCAGGGCTTGGTGGTAGGCACCTGTAACCCCAGCTACTTGAGAAGCTGAGGCAGGAAAATCACTTGAACCTGGGAGGCCAAGGTTGCACTGAACCAAGATCAGGCCACTGCACTCCAGCCTGGGTAACAGAGTAAGACTCTGTCTCAAAAAAAGAAAAAGAAAAAAGATATCACAATCTTTATGTCAAGAACAGGCTTCTTCCTATTCTATTCTATTCTGTTCAAATATATATACATCTCTTTTCTACCATAGTATCTATGCCTTTTTCATTGCTGATTGATAGACAACTTTTCTGGGTTGCCATGTCCTTAACAACTGTTACCTTTCTGGCCATTATTTATTAGTTAAGCATTCAGTGCCCTCAACAATGATTTGAGGTAGTCAGACACTTCCTAACTAAATAAAAAGGGAGATAGTAGCAGCACTTATAGAAGCAGGAGCAAGTACAAAGGGGTGCAGCTCATGAGCCCCTTCCTCCTCTTATGGAGGTGGGAAGGGGGTGAAAACTGGGCTGGCATCAATGTGGTCTGGAATGTCTGCCTCTGCAGGAGCTGTTCGATGTGATCTTGGATGAGAACCAGCTTGAGGATGCCTGTGAGCACCTTGCCGACTATCTGGAGGCCTACTGGAAGGCCACCCATCCTCCCAGCAGTAGCCTCCCCAACCCTCTCCTTAGCCGTACATTAGCCACTTCAAGTCTGCCTCTTAGCCCCACCCTAGCCTCTAATTCACAGGTAAGGGGAGTTTTTATATATATCTATATATACAATCTTCATAGAAAAAAGGTTGCCTATGGTGACACCTCTAGGATCCAAGCCCAGTAGCCTGCTTGGGGCTTGTTCTAGTATATTAACTCAAAGCAAGTCCAGCATGAGCTGTGTATGTACCTGTAAGAAAAGCACCATCAACAGAATATATTGGGAACATACACAGACTACCGAAACTTTCTAAACAGTAGCATAGACTGTGGAAGTGGATCACCTAGATTCAAATCCTGGCTGCACCTCTTACCACTTGTGGGGTGGATAACCTGGGGCAAATTTCTTAACTGTTCTTACCTCAGGAATAATAATGGCAACCTGTCCAAGAGGCTGCTGGAATTAATAATCTCAAGAGATGATCTTATAGGGCTGTTGTATTAATGAGTTATTATATACAAAGGGTCTACAGAACAGTGCCTGTCCCATACTGTATCACTGTATCAGGTAAGCATTTGCTATTTTTAATATTCTCACATACAGTCAAGCAGAGGTAGTTAAGTTTACACCGCTGTATAGAAAAATCTCAGGGACCTGCATCTGTATTTGAGCCACAGGAGAATAAATAAAAGAACATTTTCCCTGCTGCTGCTTTTTTTTTTTTAAAGGAAAAAGTTACCATGGGCACTGTTCTAGGCACTTACAAAAGTCCAATTTAATATAGTATAGTATAAAGCCTTATAAATGCCACTGGATGTTACCAAAGGGATGAAGCTAGGTTAGACTTCATTTCAGCTTTTCGGATGCTTAAAAAGGACTCTGCTTGAATGCACTTGCTCTGGGACATGTTCTTTACACACTGACCTTGGTTAACGCCTGGTGTGCTCCTTTCGCTGCCAGGGTTCTCAAGGTGATCAGAGGACTGATCGCTCCGCTCCTATCCGTTCTGCTTCCCAAGCTGAAGAAGAACCTAGTGTGGAACCAGTCAAGAAATCCCAGCACCGCTCTTCCTCCTCAGCCCCACACCACAACCATCGCAGTGGGACAAGTCGCGGCCTCTCCAGGCAAGAGACATTTGACTCGGAAACCCAGGAGAGTCGAGACTCTGCCTACGTAGAGCCAAAGGAAGATTATTCCCATGACCACGTGGACCACTATGCCTCACACCGTGACCACAACCACAGAGACGAGACCCACGGGAGCAGTGACCACAGACACAGGGAGTCCCGGCACCGTTCCCGGGACGTGGATCGAGAGCAGGACCACAACGAGTGCAACAAGCAGCGCAGCCGTCATAAATCCAAGGATCGCTACTGTGAAAAGGATGGAGAAGTGATATCAAAAAAACGGAATGAGGCTGGGGAGTGGAACAGGGATGTTTACATCCGCCAATGAGTTTTGCCCGTTTGTGTTTTTTTTTTTTTTTTTTTGAAGTCTTGTATAACTAACAGCATCCCCAAAACAAAGTCTTTGGGGTCTACACTGCAATCATATGTGATCTGTCTTGTAATATTTTGTATTATTGCTGTTGCTTGAATAGCAATAGCATGGATAGAGTATTGAGATACTTTTTCTTTTGTAAGTGCTACATAAATTGGCCTGGTATGGCTGCAGTCCTCCGGTTGCATACTGGACTCTTCAAAAACTGTTTTGGGTAGCTGCCACTTGAACAAAATCTGTTGCCACCCAGGTGATGTTAGTGTTTTAAGAAATGTAGTTGATGTATCCAACAAGCCAGAATCAGCACAGATAAAAAGTGGAATTTCTTGTTTCTCCAGATTTTTAATACGTTAATACGCAGGCATCTGATTTGCATATTCATTCATGGACCACTGTTTCTTGCTTGTACCTCTGGCTGACTAAATTTGGGGACAGATTCAGTCTTGCCTTACACAAAGGGGATCATAAAGTTAGAATCTATTTTCTATGTACTAGTACTGTGTACTGTATAGACAGTTTGTAAATGTTATTTCTGCAAACAAACACCTTCTTATTATATATATAATATATATATATATCAGTTTGATCACACTATTTTAGAGTCTTAATGCCAAGTCAGCAGATTTGCTTTATGAATTACAGGGACTAGAAATGCCCACATTCAGGAAATTTGTAATAACATTGTCTAGACACCTATCCTCATTCTAGTAGAAAGTGTGTACATACTGTAAATATGTGTGATTGCTTGACTTGAAAAGGTTTGAATTCTGAATGTTATACCATCCTTGTAAGTAAGTTTGTAATTTCCACCATAAATTATGGTAAATATAAAACTCCAGAGGTTGTTCTACTCCATACAGTTCACACTGATTGTGACACATTCTTAGTAGCTAGTGTCTGTTCTAGTCACTGCACTGGAGTCTACGAGCCGGAACTCGCTATATGCACGTGTGTGTGTCCGTATGTAAGAAAGTGTGCACCGAGTGACTGAATGGTTGAGATGAATTGGAATGCTGAAGACTAACGAAGAAACTAGAGACTGATATCGAGCATTCTGCCCACCTCGCTCTGTATTTAATTAATTGTGCTATATGTTGCTTTAACAACCCATTGAGCAGTCAGGGAATGTGAGTAAGCTTGCTGCCAAAGGTAACTAGGAAAGCATTCATCTGCTGCCTCCTTGTTTTTGCTCCTAGAGAGTGAAAATACAGGCAATTTTACTGTGAGTGTTTCACTGGAAATGTACAATCTTTGTGTGTTAGAGTATTTGTTTTAGTAAGAAATGTTTACACAGCTTGTGGAATTATTTCGTGGGAAAATAAATTTTTATAACTTCTCCCACTTCAATTTCTAACCTTGCCTATTGTTCCTGTTGTTTGTTTACCTCCCAGTTACCTACCATTCCTCCCCACCACCGACTCCAGCAGGTTCACTGTCTGTCAGAACCCAGAAGTGCTTCTTATAACCAAAGTTTCTGTTCTTCAGAAGAAATCAGGGCAAAATGGGGTGACTTGAAGTGAATAAAATGTTAAGAATATTATCCTACATAAGACATGTACACAGAAGGGGAACCTTGAAGACATTATCTCCATGCCTCAATTACACTGCTGTAAGAAGCTTACAATGTCATCATGTTTAAGGCTAAGACCTTTTCCGTGTCTCAAGTGTATATTTTGTCCAGTTATAACTGGATGGTAAGACAGTATTAAGAGTGCAAGTACCTGGCACTTGAAGTTTGTCCCAGGAAAATGCCTGTGTATAATTACCTAACTTCAGATCTGCACATTAACTTATTTAACAAAATAAATCAGCCGGGCGCAGTGGCTCATGCCTGTAATCCCAGCAATTTGGGAGGCTGAGGAGGGTGGATCACCTGAGGTCAGGAGTTCAAGACCAGCCTGGCCAACGTGGCGAAACCCCGTCTCTACTAAAAAGATAAAAAATTAGCCAGGTGTGGTGGTGCACACCTGTAATCCCAGCTACTTGGGAGGCTGAGGCAGGAGAATTGCTTGAACCCAGGAGGTGGAGCCTGCAGTAAGCCAAGATCACACCACTGTACTCCAGCCTGGGTGACAGAGTGAGACTCCATCTCCAAAAAAGAAAAAAAAACAAAAAACAAAAAAAACTATCCAGCAAAATTATAAAATCTACTTTGTTTTGCTTCCTTGATTATTCCAAGTTCTTACCAAATATTCTTAGCCTTTTATAAGTAAAACTGTTTTACATTTAACTCCTTATTTCCCTTACCCCCAAGAAAACGCAATATTAAAAATGATTAAGCTGGGGTGGTAGAGTATACCTGTAGACCCAGCTACTTGGGAGGCTGAGATAGGAGGATCCCTTGAGCCCAGGAGGTGGAGGCTGCAGTGAACCGTGACTGTACCAATGCACTCCAGCCTGGTGACAACCTGGTGTTTAAAAAAAGAAAATAAAAATTAGTTACATATATAATGTTTTATCAGCTTATATATGAAAAAATTTCCCTCAGTTCGTTAATTAGCCCTACACTGTTTACATAAATTTATTTACTGAGTATAAAATCAGTAGTCATAATAAACTTGACAATTCTTACATTGGTAGGAAACCATATTCTAATTAAAATTGAATTTATAAAATATTTCTGATAAAACTTTTGTCATGGTAAGAGATTCACAATTATTAGTTCAATCCTTTATTATTTCATCCCAATTAATGATTTTAGAATATTTAAATTCTTGAAACATAGCTAGTATTTATCTTACTTGCTGCTATCATTAATCCCTTTCAAAAAGTAGTGGTGAGAGTTTCCATCTTTTTTATTTTGTATCTAGATTCTTAGCTTGCACTTTACTGTAGAACATATTAGTGCAAATCAGAATATTCCTCAAAGAACTAGCTTGAAGGATTTGACATAAGAGCCGCTATATGTGAAAAACTGTATAGTGGACATATGTGTAAACTGTGTAGTAAATCTGTAAATGAGGAAATAATCTCAAGGGCAATGGGATATTTACTGACCTGCGGAATGTAAAGTTACAGTCTTTTCACACAACAAAGGCTTAACCTTAACCTACTCAGTTGTAGAGCCATTTTTGTAGTCAACCTAGAAAATGCTGGAAATGTATTTAATAGTTTTTTTTTTTTTTTTTTTTGGTCATATCCATTTCAGTCTTTCCTATGCTCTTTCTCTACTGCTCATTTAAGTTACTGTTACAAAAAGGTGCTGCTAAATGTAGGATGTCTTAGTCATGTTGTACTTTGGGACAATGCCACATTTTTAACATGGTCTGCTATGCATTCCTGTTAAACATTCACTGTCAGCTACACTGAACTGTCTAACAAACCTGGTTTAAAGTAATTCATATAAAACAAATAAAGAGCTGGCTTCTGCACTGTTTATTAGTAGTAGTATTAATTGCCATGTTAGAAATGATTCATGTAGTTGAGACTATATTAAATATTCAACACTTCCCAGCTGCAGGGCATCTTTCTTGGGGCAATGCTAAATACTTTATGTTCCTTTAGTAATCTTCCTATTATGTCTGATTAAAAAAAAAGATACCTCCACGTAGATAAAATATTTTATTCAACGTGAGCTCTAGCAGAATAATCTGGGTCAGTTATGAGTTCTGGATCAAGAGTTTAATTTCTGCTGCGCTGTACTTTTAACTATTTGTACTTTGCTTCATTATTTAAAACATGACACAGGGTTTTAAAGTAAATGTACTCACTGTTGAACTTAAGTACTTCTTCTGTTTCATAGAAATGTTAATATTAAATGTTAAAATATATATTAATTTTCCCTCACATTTCCCTGATTTTTTCACCTTATTGCATTTTTTTCTTATACTGCTATGTCCCATAAGTTTATGTGATTTTCCAGTTTGCTTAAGTTTTTGAAAGGAAGAAACCCACTGAAAATTAGCTCTGTTCAAGGAAAAATTCTGAATAGTATTCTTTGTCCTGTTTCCAATATGTAAATACTTTTCTTCTATTTACTGGCATTGGTTGTATTTTGATATTTGTTGGTATTAATCAAACATTTACACCAGTAAAAGTTTGTTGCTAGGCTGATTCTCTGCCATTTTCATCCCAGCTTAGCAAATAAGGATGTGCAGCAAGCATTACAGAAAATGATTTTTGTAGAGTTTCTTAAAAGACATTTAAAGTTTAAAGAGGTATGCTGAGCCCTAAAAAGATAAGTCCCACAGGAAAAGTGTTTCTCTTTAGTCAAATGACAGCTACTGGATATAAGGCAGAATGAGGGATGTAAGAGAGACACATGTTTGCTTGAAATAATTTTTCTCTCAAACAATAATCATCTATTGACTGTTTGCTCTGAAGCTGTGACAGAGAAACGGCAGGACAGGGTCTCTGCCTGGAGGATGTTTCCCAGGTGTGGGGCTGGGGCTTAAGGTGCATGGCTAGAAAATTTGAATGAGAGTGTCGTAAGTGCCAGGAGAACATTAGATGTGGGAGCCAGGGGCACAGAGAAGGGGAGCAGTGCCTATCCAACCTCAGGGAAAGGTATTCAAGAAAGCCTCCTTTAAAGAAGAGGCAATCTAAAGGTCTTACCTGATCCAAGAGACCTTGCAATCCTTATGGATACAATAAATAGTTATGAGAAATTCCTAAAGAAAACCTGTGGAGGGCGGGGCGGGGGGGCGGGCGGAAATCAAACTATTAACCAATTGTCCATTTCTTAAGCCCAAGGCCTAATAACTTTTGGGTGATTTGAATGAAAGTTAACAAAACAGTATGATGGATTTAACACCATGAGACAGCCTTAAAACTATGGCTGGGAAGTAAGTATTCTGATTGATCTAAAAAGCCAATAGGAAGGCAAAATCCTAAGGCTGTAATGTTTTTTTTAAAAGCTGGCTGGGTGCAATGGCTAACATATGTAATCCCAGTGCTTTAGAAGGCCAAGGCAGCGGGACTGCTTCAGGCCAGGAGTTCAAGACCAGCTTGGGTAACAAAGCAAGATCCCATCTCTTTAAAAAAAAAAAAAAAAAAAAATTAGCCAAGCATGGTTGCACACAACTGTGTTGTCCTAGCTACATGGGAGACTGAGGCAGGAAGATTGCTTTAGCCCAGGAGTTTGAGGTTGTAGTGAGCTATGAAATCATGCCACTGCACTCCAGCCTGGGTGGCAGAGCAAGACCTTGTCTTTAAAAAGTAAAATTAAATTGAAAAGCAGTCACTTATTTTGGCCACTACAGTGGGATGCTTGATTTTTGCAATTCGAAGGATGATCTGCTTTTTGTCTGAATTCAGACTTGATTGTGGTCTTTTTTTGTCTGGATCTATGATAGGTACGGCTGCCTTGTCTGATGTTGGGGATAGGTGAAACTGCTTACGTTCAACAGGAGAACACCAAGGCCCAGCTATAAGGGTCAGGTCAGGCCACTTCCCAGCTGCCAGAGCTGGTTTTTTCTTTCTCACCAAGCATTTTCTAATAACTGATATGTTTCAAATACATGATAAGTTATCCAAATTGTAGAATAATCTCATTTTCTAAATCTACAAAGTAAAGAAAATACTAACTTTACTTTTTCGTTTAAAATTATGAAAAACATTGAACATAGACTACCATTTAGACTACGATAGTCTTTAGACTATCACTTCACACTATCATTCAGAGGAGGTCCAGACTTCATTTGAAAGGGGGTTGACTTACTAAATAAGCAGACAGAGAGTCAGGTAAAATACTTACCTCCATTATTGGCACATAGTCAATGTTTTACTTCCCATGCCCTGAATCCTTAAGAAACTAGGAACCTAGAAACAAAAACAACTTTTCATAACCACATCAAATATTGCTAATTTATTCCTTTTGTTAGATTCACTAATTTTTAACATTAAAAATGACTTGTACACTTTACAAATTAAAACATTAGATCACAAATGAAAATATGCTCCAGACATCTATAGGCATCTGCTTTTCTTTATACTCTACTAAATACATAAAAAAAAAAAATCTTTTAAAAACAGAAAATATAATCTCATACCACCCCCTACTTCCTCTATGTCTCTGGATCCCTGGTAAAACAGCTGGCAGCCTTTTCTGTTTCCATAGCAACCACATCATCATTCAGTTGGCCTGACAACACTTTGGTTAAAAAAAAAAAAACCACAGACAGCAAATGTTTGGAATTTTCATTTCTGAGCATCCATCCCTCTCCTATGTGCTTTTGCATTTTACAAATTTTGCAATAAAAAAACCTATAGAGTCCTTATTAGCCAGACGCAACATGTCTTCTCTTCTGGCCTCTCTAAGAGAGTCCATGTCAGTGTCCGGTAATGGCACAGCCGATGGATCAAATCGCTGCAGCTGTTTCAACTGTTCACATGAGAGCCCAGCTCCCCTCATTCCTTCTCCTCCAATCTGCGGTTCCTGTTTGGAGAAAGTGGATCAATATGGATGAACATCCTGTAATTAGCAAGTATGACTGCTACAATTTAAGTTAAAAGACAAATTGGGCTGTAACGACTACATCTTCCAAAAATAGAAAAATGAGTAAATGCCTTTCATTTTGGTGGAACATACGTGCTGCTTTCCAGACAGTAAAGTAGGAAAGCAATACTATGCGTCACCTGATGAACAAATACCTATTATTACATGCTTATCAAACACTGTGACATTATCAAAGGCCTGAGCTTCCTAGTTGGAAACAAGTGGACTCAAATTGCAGCTCTACCACATTTTAGCTGTGTGACTTTAGGTAATGTTAACTAACCACATTTCCTCATCTATTAAACAAGGCTTAAGTAACGAAGGTGGTATCACACCTGGCATATAGCAGGGACTCAGTAAATGGAACATTATTATCAATAAAGCAGCAAAGGCCAGGCACAGTGGCTCACACCTATAATCCCAGCACTTAGGGAGGCCGAGGCGGGCTGATTACCTGAGGTCAGGAGTTCAAGACCAGCCTGGCCAACAAGGTGACACCCTGTCTCTACCAAAAATACAAAAATTAGCCAGGTGTGGTGGTGCATGCCTGTAATCCCAGTTACTTGGGAGGCTGAGGCATGAGAATTGCCCGGGAGACAGAGGTTGCAGAGAGCCAAGATTGTGCCTGGGCAATCCAGCCTGAGCGACAGAGTGACACTCCATCTCAAAAAACAAAAAATGAAAGAAAAGAAAAGAAAAGAGAAGGAAGGGAGTGGGGACGGGGAGGGGAAGAAGAAAAAGAAAAAGAAAAAAGAAAAAAGAAAAAAGAAAGCAACAGAAAAAATTCAGCTTTATTTAACAGTTTCCAAAACTGAAAGGTGGTCTTTGGGCATCTAAGGTACCTCTCTCTGACCCATACCAGTTGGGCGAGAAAAGTTTCTAGAAAAACAAACATAAGAAAGGAAACATAATTTAAGGCTGTATCAATTAGTTTAGAGGAATCATAAGGCATTGAATGATACTTGCAAACTACTGAAGAAGATCTATAATCCTAAGTCACCATCACAGACAATCATCTGCATGTTAATGAAGATAGGTTTTCAGACATATACTTAAGAAAACAGATCGTTTATTATCCCATGGAGGTCAGGGGAAAACTTCCCATCCCTTTTAGGTATATATTTTGAGTGTGTGTATATTTCCAAATGAATTCCGAAGTCTTCCTTTCATCTACAATGTAATTATCTTAATTTACGAGACTAGAAACCATCTCTGAATTGTCTTTATTTATGTATTCCCATTACCTAATTTCTGTATAGAAAGGTACTAAAGTTAGATGCTCAATGTATCTGAATGTATGCGAGCATTATTACAGATTTAAACTTAATCTCAAATATCCTGGACTAAAAATTGAATCAAAAATACATTTCTAATAAAGACCATAACATAAAGAGTTGTGTTAGGTAAAAGAAAGTATAGCAAAGCTTTTTAAATATTATACATTTTATATAATAAGCAATAATCCAGAAATACTTTTTTCCCTTTCAGCTGGTCTTCTGATATCCCACAGTTATTAAAGCTCATTTGAGCTTTGATGTGACATGAGAGAAAATGCTCAACATTTTCCATGTCAGAAAAATACAGGACTGGGAAGGAGAAAAAAATCTTTTTAGAAAAAAGGTGCCGAGTAACATGAATAGCTACAAGGGGAATAAACACATAACAAAAACACTCCCAAGCTCTGTGCCATTTTAACACAATGGCAGGAACAAAGATGAGAAAAAACTTTGTCAGGACATGCAAATTATGGGCAGTCTAAAGTGGATTTAATTAGATAAGCATTCTTGTTTATTACAGTGTTCACTTTGGAAGTTTTACTTATCTCTTCGTTAACACCCTGATTACCACAGTGCTTCAGTTTCTGTGATTTATCTTATTACACAGAGAAAAATGAAATTACTCCTACCTGGGGCTGAAGCTGAAGGCAAGGAAATTTTGTCAGGGCCCAGGCAACCTGTTCTTCATTTTCGGCCAGTGTTATAGTGCACGTGCTATAAACCAGCACACCCTCTGGCTTCAGCAGCTGAACCGCCTAAAGAAAACTGTGATCAGACCACACACAGCACAAGACCAGATAAACATATGAATGAATTTCAAAGCAAAAGGTATAATGTCTTTCAAATGTTTGGGATAAATAAAATGATGTTCTATGTGACAAGGATTCCTTCTGTAATTAGAGTATGCAAGAGCAACACTTGCAGCCTAGACTAGGTGCATTTCATTATCTTGGAACTGTCATACTCCAGATGGACCAAGACTTCCCCAAATATAATCATTCACCGTCATGCCTTTGGATACCATTTTTTATGCTGAAAACTCACAAATTTACATTTTTAGGCCACATCAACTTGTTAAATTCCCTACTTAAATGTTCAGTTGGCTTCTTAACATTTCTTTTTTATTCTTATTTTTTTAAATAGAGATGAAGTCTCACTGTTGCCCAGTCTTGTCTTACACTCCCGGGCTCAAGCAGTCCTCCCACCTTGGCCTCCCAAAGTGCTGGGATTGCAGGCGTGAGCCATGGGTCTGGCCCTTCTCAACATTTCTATAATACTATCAAACTTGACATGTCCCAAAATGAACTCCTACTTTCCCTCTGAAATCCACTGCAGAAGTTTTCCTATCTTTCCAGAATCTCAGGTCCCAAACCTCAGATTTTCCTTTATGCCTCTTTTTCTGACTCCCCCAAACATCACCAAGTCCTATTGGCTCTACCTTCACATTCTAGCCAGAATTTGGCCACTTCTCACCACTTCCACTATCATTGTGGTCCAAGCCTCTTTATCTTTTGCCTGGATTATTCCAACCGCCTCCTACTTCATCAACCTGCTTTATTCCCTGCCCTCCTGCAATCTAGTCTCAGTACAGCAGCCAAAGCAGTCCTTTTAAGCTTGTCTCTTCTCAGCCCCAAGCCCCTCACATGTCCTCCATGATCACTTACAGTCAAAGTCCTTACATGATCACTTAGAGTCAAAGACAAAGTCCTTACAGAGGTCTTTGAGGTCAGACATAAACAAGTCTCTTGTTGCCTCTCTGACCTCCTCCTGTACACCTCTTACTCTGGCCCATTTGACTTTGGCAACACTGGCCTCCTGCTGTTTCTGGAACACACAAGACACACTGGCACCTCAGAATCTTTGCAGCAGTTGGGAAAGCTCTCTTAATTCCCTGCACTGCTTACTCCTTATCTTTGCATGTATGTCACGTTCCCGGGCACTCTGTAGATTTGCAACTATTCCAATCCAACACTCCTATCCCCAGTTCCTTTAGCTTGCTCCATAGGGCCATTGCATTATTGCCTTCTAATATACTAAAAAACTCATTTATTTATTTCCTTTCCTAGTTAGAATGGAAACCTCGTGAATAAGGGCATGGAGTGTTTGTCCACTTTCTCAATGCTGTACCGTCAACATCTAGAATAGCGTCTTACATACAGGAGATCTATGAGTATTTGTTGAATAAATTAATCAGGAGATAAGGTATTGTGCTAAAATGGACTTGTCTGAAATACCTAAAGTTCAGCTTTTCAAGCTCCTAATTTTTAAAAATTTAAAGGAAATCTTTAAAAATAGAGTATACATACTTGTGCTTTTTAAATCAGAGTATGCTGATCAAAATTTAAACTTTGTTACTATGTGCCAGTTACTGTGTGAAACACTGTATATGAATTTTTCTCAATAAATCCTTATAACAACCACAAAGTAAGATGACTATCACCAATGAGGTATTCCTAATAGGTAGAGCTGTTATCCCTGCTACTCAGATATAGAAAACAATGTACCTAAAGTCACTTAGGTGGAAGAGCCATGGCTCAAGTCAACAAGGCTCAAGTCCACATTCTCGATTTCTCTCCATGCCAAATGGCAAACCTGCTATATTCTAGTTCTCTCTGATATACTGTCAGCTTTTCCTTCTCATTGAGATCATTCATCTACTCCTAGTAGCCTTTTAAAATACCATTTTTGCTGTGACCTAATAAGAACAGAAATCCAAGTCCTTTACAGAAGTATCCTAATTTTATTCTCAAGTCAAAGTGGGTTTCGGCTGTAACTAAAGTTTCCTTTTTGCTGCTTGCTGTTTTAATTCTGAGGATGAGTTCTTCGAAGACTTCATAGAAAAAGACGAAGTTAAATAATACACAACCAGTGCTACCTTTGTATATGAAAGGAAACACCAGGAGAGTTGAATCAGAATGTACTCAAAGGCAGCTTTAGAAACTAAATCATTATAGAACATCCATTGTTGCTCTAGCCTTGTATTTTGGAGGGCTGGGAGGAAATAATGAATTCATCTATGATCAAACACTGCCTATACACGCTGAAATCCACTGAGTCATTTTTGAAAGACTAGGAGAAATCCTCAAATGTTCTATCTGGGCTTCTGAAAGTGCTGGAGACAAGTTAAATTTGTACAGTTTTTATGGTTCTCCTATATCCTACGCTGGCCACTGTCTCTTCCTGTTTTTATCAATGAGTTTTGCTCCCTATTGGGCCTTCTTCTAAAGACGACCCCCAAAAAATCTCTTTTTTTTTTTTTTTTGAGACAATCTTACTCTGTTGCCCAGGCTGGAGTGCAGTGGCATGACTTCAGCTCACTGCAACCTTCGCCTCCCGAGTTCAAGCAATTCTCCTGCCTCAACCTCCCGAGTAGCTGGGACTACAGGCGCCCACAACCACACCCAGCTAATTTTTTGTATTTTTAGTAGAGACGGGGTTTTGCCATGTTGGCCAGGCTGGTCTCGAACTCCTGACCTCAGGTGATCAGCCCGCCTCAGCCTCCCAAAGTGCTGAGATGATGGGCGCAAGCCACCATACTAGCCAATAACTCTATTTTTTTAAAAAAAAGAGTAATTTATTTTATATCTAATTCTTTACATCAATTAGTAACTACAAGTTAACAACTCAGTGACTTTTTTCAGATAGAGAATATTTGAAATTTATTAAATATCTCAGTGATGAAATTCTACTATTGCCTGTATATCTTAAAGGTGAGTCAACTTAAATGAAAACTTCCTATATTTAAAACTAGGTCCTCTCAGTTGTGTGTGTGTGTGTGTGTGTGTGTGTGTGTGTGTGTGTGTGTGTGTGGTAAAATATAAATAACATAAAATTTATCATTTTAGCCATTTTAAGTCAATAATGACATTCAGTACAGTCACATTGCTGGGCAATGATCACCACCATTCATCTCCAGAACTTTTTCATTATCCCAAACTGCAAGTCTATACCCATTAAACAATAGCTCCTCAATCTCCCAGCCCCACAATGCCTGGTAGTATCTATTCTTCTTCCTGTCTCTGTGAATTTCCCAGCTACCTCATATAAGCAAAATCTTAAAGCATTTTTCCTTTTGTGTCTGGTTCATATTACTGAGCATAATGTTTTCCAGGTTCACCCATGTTGTGCCTGTATCAGAATCTCATTCCCTTTGAAGGCTGAATAATGTTCCATGTATGGATATAGCACATTCTGTTATCCATGTATCTGTCAACAGACTCTTGGGTTGTTCCCACCTTTTGGCTATTGTAATGAACGCTGCTATGGAGATTGCTGTCAGTAGTTTAAACATCAAAGTAGCAAAAGTTAACTTTGTTTCACAAAAACAGACCACCACATACTGCAGTGAAGAGTTTTCGCTGTAATGGCTGATATGATGCCACTTCCTTCACAGACCAAGTACAGGCCATGTTTGGTCTCTGTCCCATTCCACTACAGGGTGCATCCAGAAGAATTCGGTCAAAGGATTCTGGTAGAAATGGAGGTTCTCCTATAAAGAGAATTATAATCATGTTTACTATCTTCCATATAGGTTTAAACTAGAAAACTCCTGAGATGAGCAGGAATTTAAAATCATAATCTAGAATAAAAAAATGAAACAATTTCTCCCTTCAATCAAGTAGCTGGTTAAACTAATTTTGACTTATACCTAATACAGATTTGATGTGGTAGAAAGGTTTAAAATGTAGTTATAGTTGAAAAGTTATTCTGTTGATATAGTACAAACCAAGGCCTAATCACAAAAGACCTTCTACCCCAAACTTCAGAAGCCACAACTCATCAAAGCTAGGACTTGGAATTAATTCTAGTTGTTCTGGAAATGGATACTTCTCTTGGTAATTCCTATTGAAGACAGCCCCCAAGAAAATGCCTGTTTGACTGTTGTGAAACACACTGATTCTGTGTTCCTGAGTCTCCTTGTTTCTGTGGCCATGAGAATGGCTATGGTCTAGAATAGGGAGAATGAGCCAGTACCACCCCTAGATTCAATCTTCCACGAAGTTTTCCTTTGCATTCACTTCAGTAATTTTCTCTAACTTCTAATCTATTTAATATTATTGGAGGAAGGTGTGAAACCAAGTGGTCTGTTTACATATTTGGGCTGTCTACCTGCTACCAAGATTTCCATTCCATTCCGCATTCCATTTCATTCCGCATTCCATTCCATTCCCCATTCTATTCCATTCTCCATTCCATTCCATTCCATTCCCCATTCCATTCCATTCTGCGTTCCATTCCATTCTCCATTCCACTCCATTCAATTCTCTACTCCATTCTATTCTCCATTCCATTTGATTCTCCATTCCATTCTTCTCCATTCAAATTCCCTAATCAATTCCATGCTCCATTACATTCCATTCTACACTACACTGCATTCCACATACCATTCCATTCTCAATTCACCATTCCATTCTCCCTTCCATTCCATTCCACTACACTCGACTCTCCATTCCATTCTCCACTCAATTCTCCATTACATTCCATTCTCCATTCCATTCCATTCCATTCTATTCCACTCCATTCTCTAATCTATTCTCCATTTCATTCCATTCCCTTCTCCATTCCATTTCCCAATCCATTCTCCATTCCATTAAATTCCATCTTCAGTTCGATTCCATTCTCCATTCCATTCCGTTCGATTCTCCATTCCATTCCATTCTCCCTTCCCTTCCATTCCATTCTCCATTCCATTCCATTGCATTCTCCATTCCATTCCATTGCATTCTCCATTCCATTCCATGCTCCATTCGATTCCATTTCATTCTCCATTCCATTCCATCCTCCATACCATTCCATTCTCTATTCCGTTCCGTTCTCCATTCCATGGAATGGAATGGGGAATGGTATGGAATGAAATGCAGAATGGAAGAGAATGGAATGGAGAATGGAAGGGAATGGGAAGGAGAATGGAATGGAATGCAGAACGGAGAATGGAATGGAATGGAGAATGGAATGGAATGCGAAATGGAATGGAATGGAGAATGAACTGGAATGGAGAATGGAATGGAATGGAGAATGGAATGGAGCGGAGAAAGGAATGGAGTGGAGAATGGAATGAAAGGGAGGATGGAATGGAATGAAATGGAGTGTGGAATGGAGATTGTTTTGAATGGAATAGGGAATGGAATGGCATGGAGTGGAACGGAATGGAAGGAAGAATGGAATGGAATGGAGAATGGAATGGAATGTAGTGGAAAATGAAAAGGAATGCAGAATGGAATGGAAATGTAACAAATGGAGAATGGAATGGAGAATGGAATAGAATGCTGAATGGAATGGAGAATGGATTGGAATGGAATGGAATAGAGAATGGAGAATGGAATGGAATGCAATGGAGAATAGAGTAGAATAGAATAGAATGGAGAATGGAATGGAATAGAATGAAGATTGAACTGGAATGCAGAGTGGAATGAGATGGAGAATGGAATGGAATGGAATGGAGAACGGTATGGAATGGAATGGAATGGAGAATGGAAGGGAATGGAATGGAATCGACAATGCAGAATGGAATGGAGAATGTAATTGATTACAGAATGGAATGGCATAGAGAATGAACTCAAATGGAGAATGGAATGGAATGGAGAATAGAATGCAATGGAATGGAGACTGGAATGGAATGGACAGGAATGGAGAAGGGAATAGAATTGAATGGAGAATGGATTGGATAAACGAATGCGGAATGGAATGGAATCAAGAATGGAATGGAATGGGGAATGGAATGGAATGCAGAATGATATGGAATGGACTGGAGACTGGAAGGGAATGGAAAGGAGAATGGAATGGAATGTAGAAAGAAGAATGGAATGGAATGGAGAACAGAATGCAATGGAGAGTGGAATGCAATGTGGAATGGAATGGAATGGAGAGTGAACTGGAATGGAGAATGAAATGGAATGGAGTGGAGAATGGAATGAAATGGAGAATGGAATAGAGAATGGAATGGAACGGACAACGGAATGGAATGAACAATGGAATGGGGAATGGAATGGAGTGGAGAATGGAATGAAAGGGAGAATGGAATGGAATCAATCGGAACGTGGAATGCAGAATGGGTATGAATGGAATAGAGAATTGAATGGAATGGAGTGGAATGGAATGGAACAGAGAATGGAATGGACTGTAGTGGAAAAAGGACTGGAGAATGGAATGGAATGGAGAATGTAACAGATGGAGAATGGAATGCAATGGAGAATGGAATGGAATGCTGAATGGAATGCAGAATGGAAGAGAGAATGCAGTGGAGTGGAGAATGTATGGGAATGGAATGGAGAATGGAATGTAATGGAGAGTGGATGGAATGTATTACAATGGAGAATGAAATGGAATGGAATAGAATGGTATGGAATGGAAAACGGCATGGAATGGAATGGAGAATGGACTGGGAAATGGGATGGAATATAATGGAGAATGGAATGGAATAGAGAATGGAAGAAACGGAATGGAATCAAGAATGGAATGGAATGGAATGAAATGAAATGGAGAATGGAATGGACACTGGAATGGAAAATGTAATGGAGAATAGAATGGAATGCAGTGGAATGGAGAGTGGAATGGAGAATGGAATGGAATGGAGAATGGAATGGAGTGGAGAATAGAAAGGAATAGAGAATGGAATGGAGTGAAGAATGGCATGAAAGGAAATGGAGAATGTAATGTAATGGAGAATGGAATGGAGGATGGAATGGAATGGAGGATGGAATGGAATGGAGAATGGAATGGAATATGGAATGGAATGGAGGATGAAATGGAATAGAGTGGAGAGTATAGAGGAAAGTAACTGAATGTGAATGAAATGGAATGAAGAATGGAATGGAATGGAGAATGGAATAGAGTGGAATGGAGAATGGAATGGAATAGAGAATGGAATGGTATGGAGAATGGAATGGAATGGAGAATGGAATGGAATCGAATGGAGCATGGAATGGAATGGAGAATGCTATGGAATGCATTGGAGAATGGAACAGAGTGGAATAGAGAATGGGATAGAATGCAGTGGTGAATAGAATGGAATGAAGGATGGTATGGAGAATGGAATGGAAGGGAGCATGGAATGAAGGCAGCATGGAATGGAATAGAGAATGGAATGGAATGGAGAATGGAATGAAATGGAGTGGAGAATGGAATGGAATAGAGAATGGAATGGAATGGAGCATGGAATGTAATGGAGAACAGAATGGAATGGAATGGATGATGGTATGGAGAATGGAATGGACAGTGGAATGGAATGGAGAATGGAATGGACAATGGGTTAGAATGGAGAATGGAATAGAATGGAGAATGGAAAAGAGCGGAATGGAATGGAGAATGGAATGGAAAGGAGGATGGAATGGAATGGAAAGTGGAATGAAATGGAATGGAGAAAAATGGAATGGAGAATGGAATGGAATGGAGAATGAACTGGAATGGAGAATAGAATGGAATGGAGAATGGAATGGAATGGAATGGAATGGAGAATGGAAGGGAATGGAATGGAAAATGGTATGGAATGGAGAATTAAATAGAATGGATAATAGAATGGAATATGGAATGGAATGAAATGAAGACTGGAATGGAGAATGGTGTGGAATGGAAGGGAAAATGGAGAATGGAATGGAATCGAGAATTGAATGGAATGGAATGGAGAATAGAATGCAATTGAATGGGATGGACATGAATGGAGAATGGAATGGAATGGAGAATGGAATGGAATGGAATGCAGAGTGGAATGGAATGAAGAATGAAGAATGGAATAGAATGCAATGGGAAGTGGAATGGAATGGAATGCGAATAGAATGGAATGAAGAATGGAATGGAAAATGGAATAGAATGGAATGCACAGTGGAATGCAATGGAGAATGGAATGGGGAATGTAATGGAATGGGGAGTAGTATGGAATGCAATAGAGAATGGAAGGCAATGGAATGAAGAATGGAAGAAAACAGAAGGGAGAATGGAATGGAATGGAGAACTGAATGGAATGGAATGCAGAATGGGATGAAATGGAGAATGGAATGGAATGGAATGGAGAATGGAATAGAGAATGGAATGGAACGGAGAATGGAATGGAATGCAGTGGTGAATAGAATGAAATGGAGAATGGAATGTTATGGAATGGAGGATGGTGTGGAGAATGGAATGGAATAGACAATGGAATGGAATGGACATGGAATGGAGAACGGAATGGAGAATGGAGTGGGGAATGGAATAGAATGGGGAATTGAAATGCGAATGGAATGGAAAGGGGAAGGGAATGGAATGGAGAATGGATTGGAATGGAATACAGAAGGATTTGGTATGGAATGAAGAATGGAATGGAAGGTAGAATGGAATGGAATGGAGACTGAACTGAAATGGAGAGTGGAATGCAATGGAGAATGCAAGGGAATGGAATGGAGGAAGGAAGGGAATGGAATGGAGAAAGGAAGGGAATGGAATGGAAAATGGAATGGAATGGAGAATGGTATGGAACGGAATGGAGAATGGAAGGGAATGGAATGGAGAATGGAAGGGAATGGAATGGAGAATGGAATGCAGTGAAAAATGGAATAGAATAGATAGTGGAATGGAGAATGGAATGGAAAGTGGAATGGAATGGAAAATGGAATGGAATGCAGCATGGAATGCAATGAAATGGAGAATAGTGTGCAGAATGGAATGGAAAGTAGAGAATGGAATGGAATGGGGAATGGAATGCAGTGGTGAATAGAATGGAATGGAAAATGGTGTGGAGGATGGAATGCGTATGCAATGGAGAAAAGAGAACATGGAATGGAGAATGGAATTGAATGCAGAATGGAATGGAATGGAGAATGCTATGGAATGCAGTGGAGAGTGGAAGAGAATCGAATGGCGAAGCGGATGGAATGCAGTGGTGAACAGAATGGAATGGAGGATGGTATGGAGAATGAAATGGAGTGGAGAGTGGAATGGAAGGGAGCATGGAATGGAATGGAGAATGGAATGGAATGGAGAATGGAATGAAATGGAATGGAGAATGGAATGGAATAGAGAATGGAATGGAATAGAGCATGGAATGGAATGGAGAATAGAATGGAAGGGAGAATGGAATGGAATGGAATGGATGATGGTATGGAGAATGGAATGGACAGTGGAATGAATGGAATGGAGAATGGAATGGAAGATGGATTGGAACGGAGAATGGAATAGAGTGGAGAATGGAAAAGAGCAGAATGGAATGGAGAATGGAATGGAAAGGAGGATGGAATGGAATGGAAAGCGGAATGAAATGGAATGGAGAATGGAATGGAATGGAGAATGAACTGGAATGGAGAATAGAATGGAATGGAGAATGGAACAGAATGGAATGGATAATGGAAGGGAATGGAATGGAAAATGGTATGGAATGGAGGATTAAATAGAATGGAAAATAGAATGGAATATGGAATGGAGCGTGGAATGGAATGGAATGAAATGAAGAATGGAATGGAGAATGGTGTGGAATGGAAGGGAAAATGGAGAATGGAAGGTAATCAAGAATTGAATGGAATGGAATGAAGAATAGAATGCAACTGAATGGGATGGACATGAATGGAGAATGAAATGAAATAGAATGGAGAATGGAATGGAATGGAATGCAGAATGGAATAGAGAATGGAATGGAATGAAGAATGGAGAATGGAATAGAGTGGAATGGACTGGAGAATGGAATGGAATGCGAATAGAATGGAATGAAGAATGGAATGGAGAATGGAATGGAATGGAATGCACAGTGGAATGCAATGGAGAATGGAATGGGGAATGTAATGGAATGGGGAGTAGTATGGAGTGCAATAGAGAATGGAAGGGAATGGAATGGAGAATGGAAGGAAATGGAAGGGAGAATGGAATGGAATGGAGAACAGAATGGAATGGAATGAGGAATGGGATGGAATGGAGAATGGAATGGAGTGGAGAATGGAATGGAATGCAGTGGTGAATAGAATGAAATGGAGAATGGAATGTAATGGAATGGAGGATGGTGTGGAGAATGGAATAGAATGGAGAAGGGAATGGAAAAAGGAATAGAATATGGAATGGAATGGAGAAAGGAATAGAATATGGAATGGAACGGAGAATGGAATGGAATGCAGTAGTGAATATAATGGAGTGGAGAATGGAATGTAATGAAATGGAGGTTGGTAAGGATAACAGAATGGCGTGGAGAATGGAATGGAGAATGGAATGGAAGGGAGAGTGGAAAGGAATTGAAAATGGAAAAGAATGGAATGGAATGGCGGAAGGAATGGAATTGAAAGTGGAATGAAATGGAATGGAGGATGGAAAGGAATGGAATGGAGGTTGTTAAGGAGAATGGAATGGAATTGAGAATGGAATGGACAATGGAATGGAAGGGAGAATGGAATGAAAAATGGAAAAGAATGGAATGGAGAATGCAATGGAATGGAAAATGGAATGAAATGCAATGGTGAATAGAATGGAGTGAAGAATGGAATGGAATTGAGAATGGACTGGACAATGGAATGGAAGGGAGAATGGAAGGGAGAATGGAAAAGAATGGAATGGAGAATGCAATGGAATGGAAAATGGAATGAAATGCAATGGTGAATAGAATGGAGTGAAGAATGGAATGGAGGATGGTATGGAGAATGGAATGGAATGGAGAATGGAATGGAATTGGAAATGGAGGAGAATTGAATGGAACGAAGAGTGGAATGAAATGGAGAATGGAATGCAGAATGGAATGGAATGGAGAATAGAATGGAATGGAAGATGGAATGGAATAGAGAATGGAATGGTGAATGCAATGGAATGGGGAATGGAATGGAGAATGTAACGGATGGAGAATGGATTAGAATGTGGAATTGAATGGAATGGAGAATGGAATGAAATGGAATGGAGAATGGGATGGAATGGAGAATTGATTGGAATGGAATTGAATAGAGAATGGAATGGAAGGGAGAATATAATGGAAAGGAATGGGGAATGGAATGGGGAATGGAATGGAATGGAGAATGGAACAGAATGGAGAATGGATTGGAATGGAATGGAGAATCGAATGGAGAATGGAATGGAATGGAATGGAGAGTAGAATGGATTGGAATGGAACAGAATGGAGAGTGGAGAATAGAAACGAATTGAATGGAATGGAGAATGCAATAGAGAATGGAATGGAATGGAGAATGGAATGGAATGCGGAATGGAATGGAGAATGGAATGGAATTAAGAATCTTACGGAGACGGCAATGGAATGTGAAATGTAATGCATTGGAATATGGAATGCAATGAAGAATGAAATGGAATGGACAATGGAATGGAATGGACAATGGAGTGGAGAATGGAAGGGAATGGAATGCAGAATGGAATGGAAGCGAATGGAGAATAGAATGGAAAAGAGAATGGAATGGAATGGAGAAAGGAATGGGGAATGGAATGCAGTGGGGATTTGAATGCGGAATGGAATGCAATGGAAAGGGGAATGGAATGGAATGGAGAATGGATTGGAATGGAATGGAGAATGGACTGGAATGGAATAGAGAATGGTTTGGAATGGAATGGAGAATCGAATGGAATAGAGAATGGAATGCAATGGAGAATGGAATGGAATGGAGATTGAGCTGGAATGGAGAATGGAATGAAATGGAAAATGGAATGGAATGGAATGGAGAATGGAATGGAGAAAGGAAGGGAAGGGAATGGAATGGAATCGAGAATGCAGAATGGATAATAGAATGGAATGGGGAATGGAATGGAATGGAGAATGAACTGGAATGGAAAATGGAATGGAATGGAGAATGGTATGGAATGGAACGGAGAATGGCAGAGAATGGAATGGATAATGGACGGCAATGGAATAGAGAATGGTATGGAATGGAGAATGGAATAGAATGGATAATGGAATGGAGAATGGAATGGTATGAGAAATGTAATGTAATGTAATGCAGGATGGAATGGAATGGAGCATGGAATGCAATGAAATAGAGAATGAAGTGGGCAACGGAACAGAAAATGGAGAATGGAGAATAGAATGGCATGCACTGGTGAATAGAAAGGAATGGAGAATGGAATGGAATGGAGAAAGGAATAGAAAATGGAATGGAATGGAGAATGGAATGGAATACGGAATGGAATGCAGTGGTGAATAGAATGGAATGGAGGATGGTATGGAGAATGGAATAGAATGGAAAATGGAATGGAGTAGAGAATGGAATATAAAGGAATGGAATGGAGAATGGAATGGAGAATGGAGAATGGAATGGAGAATGGAATGGAATGTGGAATGGAATGCAATGAGGAATGGAATGGAATGGAGAATGGAATAGAGAATGGAATGGAATAGAGAATGGAATGGAGATGGAATAGAGAATGGAATGGTATGGAGAATGGAGAATGATATGGAACGGAATGGAGAATGGAAGAGAATGGAATGGGGTGCAGTGGTGAACAGAATGGAATGGAGAATGGAATGGAATGGAGGATGGTATGGAGAATGGAATGGAATGGAGCATAGAATGGAATGGAGCATGGAATAAAATGGAACATGAAATGCAGTGATGGAGAATGGTATGGAGTGGAATGGAAAATGGGGTATGGAATGGAATGGAGAATAGAATGGAATGGAATGCAGAATGGAATGGAGGATGGTATAGAAAATGGAATGGAATGGAGAATGGAATGGAATGGAAAAAGGAATAGAATATAGAATGCAATGGAGAATGGAATGTAGAATAGAATGGAATGGAATACAGTGATAAATAGGCTAGAAGGGAGAATGGAATAGAATGAAATGAAATGGAATGGAGGATGGAATGGAGAATGGAATGGAATGCAGTGGTGAACAGAATGGAATGGAATGGAGGATGGTATGGAAAATGGAATGGAATGGAGAATGGAATGGAATGGAGAATGGAATAGAATATGGAATAGAATGGAGAACGGAATGGAGAATACAATGGAATGGAATGCAGTGGTGAATGGAATGGAATGCAGAATGGAATGGAGGATGGTATGGAAAATGGAATGGAATGGAGAATGGAATGGAATGGAAAAAGGAATAGAATATAGAATGCAATGGAGAATGGAATGTAGAATAGAATGGAATGGAATACAGTGATAAATAGGCTAGAAGGGAGAATGGAATAGAATGAAATGAAATGGAATGGAGGATGGAATGGAGAATGGAATGGAATGCAGTGGTGAACAGAATGGAATGGAATGGAGGATGGTATGGAAAATGGAATGGAATGGAGAATGGAATGGAATGGAGAATGGAATAGAATGGAGAATGGAATAGAATGGAGAAAGGAATAGAATATGGAATAGAATGGAGAAAGGAATAGAATATGGAATAGAATGGAGAACGGAATGGAGAATACAATGGAATGGAATGCAGTGGTGAATAGAATGGAATGGAGAATGTAATAGAATGAAACGTAATGCAGGCTGGAATGGAGAATGGAATGGAATGGAGAATAGAATGGACAATGGAAAGAAATGGAGAATGGAATGAATGGAATGGAGAATGGAAAAGAGTGGAATGGAATGGAGAATGGAATGGAATGAAAAATGATATGGAATGGAGAATTGAAAGGAATGGATAATGGAATGGAATGCGGAATGGAATGGAGCATGGAATGGAGTGGAGCATGAAATGGAATGAAGTGGAGAATGGAGTGGAATGGAACGGAAAGTGGAGCACTGAATGGAATGGAGAATAGAATGGAATGGAAAATGGAATGGAATAGAATGGAGAATGGAAGGGACTGGAGAATGGAATGGAATGGAGAATAGAATGCAATAGAATGGAATGGAATGGAGAATGGAATGGATTGGACAGGAATGCAGAATGGAATGGAATAGAATGGAGAATGGAATGCAACGGAGAATGGAATGGAATGCAGAATGGAATGGATTGCAGAATGGAATGGACTGCGAAACGGAATAGCATGAAGAAGAATGGAGGATAGAATAGAAGGGAATGGAGAACGGAATGGAATGGAGAATGGAATGGAATGCGGAATGGAATGGAATGCGGAATGGAATGGATTGCAGAATGGAATGGATTGTAGAATGGAACAGAATGAAGAAGAATGGAGAATGGAATAGAATGGAATGGAGAATGGAATAGAATGGAATGGAGAATGGAGTGGAATAGAGAATGGAATGGGGATTGTAATGGAATGGGGAATGGTATGGAATGAAATACAGAATGGAAGAGAATGGAATGGAGAATGGAAGGGAATGGGAAGGAGAATGGAATGGAATGCAGAATAGAGAACGGAATGGAATGGAGAATGGAATGGAATGCGAAATGGAATGGAATGGAGAATGAACTGGAATGGACAATGGAATGGAATGGATAATGGAATGGAATGGAGTGGAGAATGGAATGAAAGGGAGGATGGAATGGAATGAAATGGAGCGTGGAATGGAGATTCTTATGAATGGAATAGAGAATGGAATGGCATGGAGTGGAATGGAATGGAAGGAAGAATGGAATGGAAGGAAGAATGGAATGGAATGGAGAATGGAATGGAATGTAGTGAAAAATGGAAAGGAATGGAGAATGGAATGGAAAATGTAACAAATGGAGAATGGAATGGAGAATGGAATAGAATGCTGAATGGAATGGAGAATTGATTGGAATGGAATGGAACAGAGAATGCAGAATGGAATGGAATGGAATGGAGAATGGAGTAGAATAGAATGGAGATTGAACTGGAATGGAGAGTGGAACAAAATGGAGAATGGAATGGAATGGAGAATGGTATGGAATGGAATGGAGAATGGTATGGAATGGAATGGAGAATGGTATGGAATGGAAGGCAATGAAATGGAGAATGGAAGGGAAGGGAATGGAGAATGGAATGGAATCGAGAATGCAGAATGGAATGGAGAATGTAATTGATTACAGAATGGAATAGAATAGAGAATGAACTAGAATGGAGAATGGAATGGAACGGAGAATGGTATGGAACTGAGAATGGTATGGAACGGAATGGAGAATGGCAGGAATGGAATGGAGAATGAAAGGGAATGAAATGGAGAACGGTATGGAATGGAGAATGGAATAGAATGGAGAGTGGAATGGAATATGGGATAGAATGGAGAGTGGAATGGAGAGTAGAATGGAAAGTGGAATGGAATATTCTCCCTTCCCTTCCATTCCATTCTCCATTCCATTCCATTGCTTTTTCTATTCCATTCCATTCCATTGCATTCTCCATTCCATGCTCCATTCGATTCCATTCCATTCTCTATACCATTCCATTCTCTATTTCATTCCATTCTTCATTCCACTCCGTTCCATTCTCCATTCCATTCCATTCTCCATACCATTCCATTCTCCATTCCACTCTATTCCATTCTCCATTCCATTCCATTCACATTAAATTACATTCCACTACACTCTCCACTCCATTCCATTCAATCCTCCCTTCCATTCCATATTCCATTCCATTCTCCATTCCATTCCATCCTCCATTACATTACATTCTCCATTCCATTCCACGTCATTCTTCACTCCATTCCATTCTCGATTCCTTTCTATTCTCCACTCCATTCCATTCCATTCTCCATTCCACTGCATTCCATTCTATTCTCCATTACATTTTACATTCCATTCTCCATTTCATTTCATTCCATTCCATTCTTGATTCCATTCCATTTCTTCCATTCTCTATTCCATTCCATTCTCCATTATATTCCATCCCATTTCCCAGTCCATTCTCCATTACAGTCCATTCCATTTTCCATTCCATACCATTCCATTCCATTTCATTCTCCACTGTAATACATTCCATCCACTCTCTATTACATTCCATTCTCCATTCCATTCCCATACATTCTCCACTCCACTGCATTCTCTATTCCATTCTCCATTCCATTCCACTCCTTTCCGCATTCCTTTCCATTCTCCATTGCATTCCATTCTCCATCTGTTACATTCTCCATTCCATTCCATTCTCCCGTCCATTTTTCACTCCATTCCATTCCATTCTCCGTTCCATTCCATTCCACTCTCTATTCCATTCATACCCATTCTCCATTCCATGCTCAATTTCATTCCATTCCATTCTCCCTTTCATTCCATTCTCCACTCCATTCCATTCCCCATTCCATTGTCCATTCCATTCCATTCTCTATTCCATTCTCCACTTCATTCCATTTCATTCTCCATTCCGTACCATTCTCCATTCCAGCTCACTCTCCCTTCCATTCCATTCCACACTGCATTCCACTCTCCATTGCATTCTGTTCTCCATTCCATTCCATTCTTCATTTTACATTCCATTCCATTCTCCTTTCCATTCCCTTCCAGTCTCCATTCCATTCCATACCATACTGCATTCCATTCCATTCTCCATTCCATTCCATTCTGCATTCCATTCCATTATTCAATTCATTCTCCATTCAATTCTATTCCATTCTCCATTCCTGTCCATTCCATTCCAGTCTCCATTCCATTCCATTTCATTGCATTCTATTCTTCATTCCATTCCATTCTCCATTCCATTCCATTTCATTGCATTCTATTCTTCATTCCATTCCATTCTCCATTCCATTCCATTCTCCATTTTCCATTCCATCACATTCCATTCCATTCCCCACTCCATTCTCCATTTCATTGCTTTCCATGCTCCATTCCATTCCTTTCCATTCTCCATTACATTACACTCCATTCCACGTTCCATTCCATTCTCCATTCTATTCCATTCTCCATTGCATACCATTCTCCATTTCATTCCCTTTCATTCTCTGTTCCATTATTTCCATTCTCCATTCCGTTCCATAACATTCTCAGTTCCATACCATTCTCCATTCCATTCCGTTTTCCATTCCAGTTCATTCCGTAATCAATTACATTTTCCATTCCATTCTGCATTCTCGATTCCATTCCATTCTCCATTCCATTCCCTTCCATTCTCCATTCTATTCCCTTCCACTCTCCATTTCATTCCCTTCCATTCCATACCATTCTCCATTCCATTCCATACCATTCTCCACTCCATTCCATTCTCCATTTCATTCCACTCTCCATTCCAGTTCAGTCTCCATTCTATTCCATTCCATTCTCCATTCCATTCTATTCTACTCCATTTTCCATTACATTACATTCTCCATTCTCCGTGGCATTCCATTCCAATCCATTCTCCATTCCATTCAGCACTCTATTCCATTCTCCATTCCATTCTCCATTTGTTACATTTTCCATTCCATTCTCCATTCCTTCCCATTTTCCACTACATTCCATTCCATTCTTCCTTCCATTCCATTCCACTCCATGCCATTCCATTCTCTATTATATTCACAACAATCTCCATTCCACGCTCCATTTCATTCCATTCCATCCTCCCTTTCATTCCATTCTCCACTCCATTCCTTTCTCCACTCCATTCCATTCTCCATTCCATTCCATTGTCCATTCCATTCTATTCTCCATTCCAGTTCATTCTGCATTCCATTCCATTCTCCATTCCATTCCGTTCTCCATTCTGCATTCCATTCCATTCTCCCTCCCATTCCCTTCCATTCTCCATTCCATTCTCTTCCATTCCATACCATTCCCCATTCCATTACAATCCCCATTCCATTCTCTATTCCATTCCATTCTCCATTCCACTCTATTCCATTCTCCATTCTACTCTATTCCATTCTCCATTCTTTATTCTATTCCATTCCACAATCCATTCCATTCCACATTTCATTCCATTCCACATTCCATTCCATTCTCCATTCCATTCCATTCTCCATTCCATTCTATTCCATTCTCCATTCTTCATTCTATTCCATTCTGTAATCCATTCCATTCCGCAATCCATTCCATTCCACATTCCATTCCGTTCTCCATTCCATTCCATTCTCCATCCCATTCTATTCCATTCTCCATTCTTTTTCATTCTATTCCATTCCACAATCCATTCCATTCCGCAATCCATTCCACTCCACATTCCATTCCATTCTCCATTCCATTCTCCATTCTTCTTCATTCTATTCCATTCCACAATCCATTCCGTTCAGCAATCCATTCCATTCTGCATTCCATTCCATTCTCCATTCCATTCCATTCTCCATTCCATTCCATTCTCCATTCTATTCCACTCCATTCTACATTCCTGTCCAATCCATTCCATTCTCCATTCCATTCCATTCTATTGCATTCTACTCTCCATTCCATTCCATTCTCCAGTCCCTTCCATTCTCCATTCTATTCCATTCCATTTCCCATTCCATTCTATTCTCCATTCCATTGAATGCTCCATTTTCTGTTCCATTCCACACCATTCTCCACTCCATTCTCCATTTCATTCCATTCCATGCTCCATTCCATTCGATGCTCCATTCGATTCTGCATTCCATTCCATTACCCATTCCCTTCAATTCTCCATTCCATACCATTTTTCATTCCATTCCATTCTCCATTCCATTCCACTCTTTCCCATTCTCCATTCCATTCATTCCATTCTCCATTCCTTTCCATTGTCCATTCTATTCTCCATTCCACTCCATTCTCCATTCCAGCCTCCATTATATTTCATTCTATTCCATTCTCCATTCCATTCTATTCACCACTGCATTCCATTCCATTCTACTCTCCATTCCATTCTCCATTCCATTCCATATTCTATTCCTTTCTCCATTCTATTCCATTCTCCATTCCATTCCATTTTCCATACCATCCTCCATTTCATTCCATTCTATTCACCACTGCATTCCATTCCATTCTCCATTACATCCTCCATTACATTTCATTCTATTCCATTCTCCCTTCCAGCCTATTCATCACTGTATTCCATTCCCTTCTATTCTCCATTCCATTCCATATTCTATTCCTTTCTCCATTCTATTCCATTCTCCATTCCATTCCATTTTCTATACCATCCTCCATTCCATTCTATTCACCAATGCATTCCATTCCATTCCATTCTATTCTCCATTCCATTCCATATTCCATTTTCCATTCCATTCCATACCATTCTCCATCATTGCATTTCATGCTCCATTTCATTCCATGCTCCATTCCATTCCATGCTCCATTCCATTCCATTCTCCATACCATCCTCCATTCCATTCCATTCTCCATTCCATTCTATTCACCACTGCATCCCATTCCGTTCTCCATTCCATTCTCTTCCATTCTCCATTCCGTTCCATTCCATTCTCCATAGCATTCCATTCTCCATTCCATTCTCTATTCCATTCCATTCTCTATTCCATTCTCCATTCCATTCCATTCCTCATTGCATTCCATTCCGCATTCCATTCCATTCTCCTTCCATTCTATTCTCCATTGCATTCCATCCTCCATTCCATTCTGCATTTCATTCCATTCCTTTCTCCATTTCATTCCATTCTCCATTCCATTGCATTCTACATTCTTCATTCCATTCTCCATTCCATTCCTTTACATTCCATTCTCTACTCCATTCCATTTTCCATTCTATTCCATTCTCCATACCATCCTCCATTCCATTCTATTCACCACTGCATTCCATTCCATTTTCCATTCCATTCTCCATTCCATTCCATATTCTATTCCTTTCTCCATTCCATTCCCCATTCCATTCCATTCTCCATTCCTTTCTATTCACCACTGCATGCCATTCTATTCTCCATTGCATTCTATTCTCCATTCTCCATTTTCCGTTCCATTCCATTCCATTCTCTATTTCATTGCACTCCATGCTCCATTCCATTCCATTCTGCATTACATTACATTTCTCATGCCATTCCATTCTCCATTCCATTATCCATTCTATTCCATTCTCCATTCCACAAAATTCACCATTCCATTCCCGTCCATTATCCATTTCATTCTCTACCATTCTCTGTTCCACTCCATACCATTCTCCATTCCATTCCTTTTTCCATTCCAGTTCATTCTCCATTCCATTCCGCATTCCATTCTATTATCCATTCTATTTCATTCTGCATTCTCGATTCCATTCCATTCCCTTCCCTTCCTTTCTCCATTCCATTCTCCATTCCATTCCATTCTCCATTTCATTCCATTGTCCATTCCAGCTCCATCTCCATTCCATTCCATTCTCCATTGCATTCCATTCTATTCTCCATTCCATTCCAAACCATTCTCTATTCCATTCCAATCCATTCTCCATTCCATTCCAATCCATTCTCCTTTCCATTCCATTCCCCTTTCCATTGCATTCCATTCCACATTCAAATCCCCATTGCATTCCATTCTCCATTCCATTCCATTCTCTTTTCCATTCTATTCTCCATTCACTTCCATTCCATTCTGCATTCCATTCCCTTCCATTCTCCACTCCACTGTCCATTCCATTTCATTCTCCATTGCATTCCATATTCCAATACATTTCACATTCCATTGCAGTCTCCCTAACATTCTTCATTCCATTCCACATTCCATTCCGTTCTCCATTCCATTCCATTCTCTATTCCATTCTACATTCAATTCCTTTCTATTCTCCACTCTCCATTCTGTTCCATTCCAATCCATTCTACTCTCCATTCCATTCCATTCTCCATTTGGTTCTCCATTCCATTCCAATCCATTCTCCATTCTATTCCATTCTCCATTCCATTCCCTTCCCCATTCCTTTCCATTATATTCTCCCTTCCATTACATTCTCTATTCAATTCCATTCCAATCAATTCTCCATTTCATTCCATTCTCCATTCCATTCAATTCCACATTCCATTCCATTCTCCATCCGTTACATTCTCCATTCCATTCCCCATTCCACTGCATTCTCCATTCCATTCTCTATTCCATTCCATTCCATTCTCCATTCCATTCCATTCTGCATTCCATTCTCCATTTCATTCCACTCTCCGTTCCATTCCATTCTCCTCCATTTCCAAGTCCATTCCATTCTCCATACCATCCTCCATTCCATTCCATTCTCCACTCCATTGTATTCACCATTGCATTTCATTCCATTTTCCATTCCATTGCATTCTCCATTCCATTCTCTTCCATTTTCCATTCCATTCTCCCTTCCATTCCATTGCCCATTCCATTCTCAATTCCATTCCATTCTCCTTACCAACCTCCATTCCATTCCTTTCCATCCTCCATTCCATTTCATTCCACTATCCATTCCATTCCATCCTCCATTCCATTCCATTCTTTTCCATTTTCAAGTCCTTTCCATTCTCCCTTCCATTCTATTGTCCATTCCATTCTCCACACCATTCCATTCTCCTTACCAACCTCCATTCCATTACATTCCATTCTCCATTCCATTATATTCACTACTGCATTCAATTCCATATTCTATTCCTTTCTCCATTCCACTCTCCATTCTATTCCATTCTCCACACCATCCTCCATTCCATTACATCCCATTCTCCATTTCATTCTATTCACCACTGCATTTCATTCCATTCTCCATTCCATTCCATTCTCTATTCCATTCTCCATACCATTCCATTCTCCATTCCATCCCATTCCGCATTCCATTCCATTCTCCATTCCATTCCATTCTCCCTTCTATTTCCTTCCATTCTCCATTCCATTCCTTTCCTTTCTCTATTGCACTCCATACTACTCCCCATTCCATTACATTCCCCATTCCATTCTCAATTCCATTCCATTCTCCATTGCATTCCACTATTCATTCCATTCTATTCCATTCTCCATTCCATTCTATTTGCATTCCATTCCATTCTCCATTCCATTCCACTGCCCATTCTATTCTATTCCATTCTCCATTCTTCATTCCATTCCATTTCGCATTCCATTCCATTCTCCATTCCATTCCACTCCATTCTCCATTCTATTTCATTCCATTCTCCATTCATGTCCATCCCATTCCATTGCATTCTATTCTCCATTCCATTCCATTCAATTCTCGATTCCATTCCATTCTCCATTTTCCCTTCCATTCCACACCATTCTCCATTCCATTCTTCATTTCATTCTATTCCATGCTCCATTCCATATTCAATTCCATTATCCATTCTATTTAATCCTCCATTCCATACCATATTCCATTCCATTCCCTTCCATTCTCCATTCCATTCTCCATTCCATTCCATTCTCCATTCCATTCCATTCTCCAATCCATTTCGTTCCACTTTCCATTCCATTCCATCCTCCTTTCCATTCCATTCTCCATTCCATCCTCCATTCCATTCCGCTCTTTTCCATTCTCCATTCCAATCCAGTGTCCATTCCATTCTCCATTCCATTCCACTGTCCATTCCATTCCATTCTCCATTCCATTCCATTCTCCATACCATCATCCATTCCATTCCATTCTATTCTCCATTCCATTTCATGCTCCATTCCATTCCATTCTCTATTCCATTCCATTCTCCACTCCATTTCATTCCATTCTCCATTCCATTCTCCATTCCATTCCATGCTCCCTTCCATTCCATTCTCCATACCATCCTCCATTCCACTCTATTCACCACTGCATTCCATCCCATTCTCTATTCCATTCTCTTCCATTCTCCACTGCATTCCATAGCATTCTCCATTCCATTCCATTCTCCATTCCATTCCATTCTACATTCAATTACATTCTACATTCCATGTTCTCTTTTCTCCATTCCATTCCCATTCCATTTTCCATTCCATTCTATTCACCACTGCATTCAATTCCCCATTCCATTCCATTCTCTACTTTCCATTCCACTCTCCACTCAATTCTCCATTTCATTGCATTCCATGCTCCATTCCATTCCATTCTCCATTCCATTCCACTTTTCATTCCATTCTCCATTCCACTATCTATTCTATTCCATTCTTCACTGCATTCCATTCTCCATTCCATTCCCTTCCATTCTCTTCCATTCTCCATTCTGTTCCATACCATTCTTCATTCCATTCCATTCTCCATTCTCCTTTCCATTCCCTTCCTTTCTCCATTCCATTCCCTTCTTTTCTCCATTCCATTCCCTTCTTTTCTCCATTCCATTCCCTTGCATTCTCCAGTGCATTCCACTCTCCATTCCAGTTCAATCTCCATTCCATTCCATTCTACATTCCATTCCATTCTCTATTCCATTCCATTCTTCATTCCATTCCAAACCATTCTCTATTCCATTCCAATCCATTCTCCATTCCATTCCCTTCCCCTTTCCATTCCATTCCCCATTCTATTCCATTCCCCACTCCATTCTCCATTGCATTCTATTCCATTCTCCATTCCATGTCTATTCCAATGTCCATTCCATTCCATTCTCTATTCCATTCCATTCTCCCATTCCATTCCATTCTCCACTGCACTGCACTCCATTTCATTCTCCATCCCATTCCAATCTCAATTCCATCTCCATTCCATTCTCCATTCCATTCCATTCTCTATTCCATTCCACATTCCATTCCATTCCATTCTGCATTCTGTTCCATTCTCCATTCCATTCCATTCTCCATACCATCCTCCATTCCATTACACTGCATTCCATTCTCCATTCTATTTTATTCACCACGGCATTCCATTACATTTTCCATTCCATTCTATTCTCCATTCCATTCCATATTCTATTCCTTTCTCCATTCCATTCCCCTTTCCATTCCATTCTCCATTCCATTCCATTTTCTATTCCACTCCATTCACCACTGCATTCCATTCCAGTCTCCATTCCATTCCATTCTCCATTGCATTTCATTCTCCACTGCATTCCTTTCCATTCCATTTCCCACTGAATTCCATTCTCCATTCCATTCCCTTCTATTCTCCATTTCATTTCACTCTCCCTTCCAGTTCAATCTCCATTCCCTTCCATTCTCCATTCCACTCCACATTCCCTTCCATTCTCCATTCCATTCTATTGTCTATTCCATTCCATTTCAATTCATTGTTCACTCCATTCCCTTCCCCATTGCATTGTCCATTCCATCCCATTCTCCATTCCATTCCCTTCCATTCTCCATTTCATTCCACTCTCCCTTCCAGTTCAATCTCCATTCCATTCCATTCTCCATTCCAATCCACATTCCATTCCATTCTCCATTCCATTCCATTTTCTATTCCATTCCATTCCAATCCATTGTCCATTCTATTCCATTCCCCATTCCATTGTCCATTCCATTCCCCATTCTGTTCTATTCCCAATTAAATTCCCCATTCCATTCCACTCCCCATTCCATTCTGCATTCCATCTCCATTCCCTATTCCATTCCATTTTCCATTCCATTCCATTCTCCATTCCTTTCCTTTTATTCTATTTCAACTCCATTCCATTCTCCATTTCATTCCATTCTCCTTTCCATTCTATTCTATTCTCCATTCCATTCTTCATTCCATTCCATTCTCCATTCTCTTCCATTCTCCTTCCATTCTCCATTCCATTCCCTTCTCCATTCCATTCCACATCCTCCTTTCAATTTCATTCTCCATTCCATTCCCCATTCCATTTCAAACTCCATTCCATTCCATTCCATACTCCATTCCCTTCCATCCTCCATTCCATTCTCCATTCCATTCCATTCCTTTCTGCATTTCATTCCATTCCTTTCTCCATTTCATTCCATTCTCCATTCCATTTTCCATTCCATTCCATCCTCCATTCCATTCCATTCCTTTCTCCATTCCATTCCATTCTCCATTCCATTTCATTCTCCATTCCTTTCTCTATTCCATTCCATTCCATTCTCCACTGTATTCCATTCTTCATTCCATTCCATTCTCCATTCTCTTCTCCATTCCATTCCATTCTCCGTTCCACTCCATTCCATTCCATCCTCCGTTACACTCCATTCCATTCCATCGTCCATTCCGTTCCACTCTCCATTTCATTCCATTCCATTCCACTGTCCATTCCACTGCATTCTCCATTCCACTCCATTCTCCACTCCATTGCATGCTCCGTTTCATTTCATTCTCCATTCCATTTTCCATTGTCCATTGCATTCCATTCTGCATACTCCATCCCATTCCATTCTCCATTCCATTCCATTCTCCATTCCATTCCATTACCCATTCCTTTCCATTCCTCATTCAATTTCCAATTCCTTTCCATTCTCCATTCCATTCCATTCTCCCTTCCATTCCATCGGTTCCATTTTCCTTTCCATTCCATTCTCCATTCCATTCCATATTCCATTCCATTCTCCATTCCATTGCATTCTCCATACCATTCTACGTTCCATTCCATTCCGTTCTCCATTCTCCATTCCCTTCTCCCACAGTCTTTTTGGCCAAATTTTACAACAAGTTCTAGAAAAAGTTGTCATCCCAGAACAAATATGCCTTCTCCAGTACGTGGATGACCTTCTCAAATCTGATGAAGATATAGGGAAGGTAACTGACTTCTCTACACATATTCTTAACCATCTGCAGTTTGAGGGTTGCTACGAGTCTCAAAAAGAAAGCTTCAGTATGTAAAGCCCAAAGTTAAATATTTAGGCCACTTAGTAGGTGCAGGCAAGTGAAGAATAAGGTGTGAACAAATCGAGGGAATCACGTCCCTACCCTTGCCTCAAACTAAACAAGAACTCGGGAAATTTTTAGGCTTAGTTGGATACTGCCACTTATGGATTGACTCATATGCACTGCACAGTAAACTGTTATATCGAAAATTTGCCCAGGAGAAGCCTAACCATATCCTGTGGACTTCTGAGGAAGTTAATCAAGTCGAGGAGCTGAAGGAAAGGCTCATAACTGCCCCTGTTTTAGCCTTACTCTCCCCAGAAAAGCCATTCCACCTTTTTGTTAATGTGGACAGTGGAGTAGCTTTAGGAGTGCTGACTCAAGAACACGGAGGCTGCCAGCAGACTGTGGCCTTCCTATCAAATGTCTTAGACCCAGTCACTTGTGGATGGCCTCAATGCATCCAGTCCAACACGGCTACCACAGTTATTAGTCGAAGAAAGCAGAAAGTTAACCTTTGGAGGAAAACTGAGAGCAAGCACGCCTCACCAAGTTAGAACTACGTTAACCAGAGAGCAGGGAGATGGCTTACTGACTCGAGAATCTTAAAGTATGAAGCCATTATGTTAGAAAAGAATGATTTAACATAGACCACCGAAAATTCACTCAACCCAGCAGGTTTCCTAACAGGAAATCCAAATCTAAGGAGGGAACACACGTTAGATTTAATTTATTATCATACAAAGGTTTGACCAGACCTAGAAGAAACTCCCTTCCAGACTGGATGGCACTTATTCATAGATGCTTCCTCCCAGGTGACTGAGGGAAAAAGACACAATGGGCATTCAGTGATTGATAGAGAAACTCTTGTAGAAATTGAGTCAGGAAACTTGCCCAACAGCTGGTCTGCTCAAACGTGTGAGCTGTTTGCACTCAGCCAAGCCTTACAGTACTTACAGAACCAGGAAGGAACCATCTATACCAATTCCAGGTATGCCTCTGGAGTGGCTCATACATTTGGGAAAATTCGGAGTGAATGAGGTCTCATTAATATTAAAGATCAAGACCTTGTTCACAAGGAGCTAATCACCCGAGTACTGAATAATCTTCAGTTGCCAGAGGAAACAACTATTGTCCATGTTTCCGGACACCAGAAAAGCCTTTCTTTTGAAAGTCGAGGAAATAACCCAGCAGATCAGGTAGCCAAGCAGTCTGTTGTATCTTCTGAAATGCATATTTTTCACTTAACTCCCCATCTCCCTCCTCCTACTGTAATCCCCATTTTCTCTTCCATCAAAAAGGAAAAACTAATAAAAATAGGCGCTAAAGAGAATTCAGAATGAAAATGGATATTGCCAGACCAGAGAGAAATGTTGTCTAAACCCCTTATGAGGGACGTCTTACCCTAACTACATCAAGGGACCAATTGGGGGCCCCAGGCCATGTGTGACATAATTCTCAGAGTTTATGGTTGTATAGGAATTTATACCCTGGCCAAACAGGTTATAAATAGTTGCTTAGTATATAAGAAAACTAAGAAACTATAAAAAGATTACCTCTCAGGTAAAGGAATCTGGGCTTAAGTTCAGTCCAAAGTATCCAAGTTGATTACACAGAAATGTCTCCAATAGGCTGTCTAAAATATTTACTAGTGATAGTAGACCACCTCACTCACTGGGCTGAAGCTATCCCCATTTCAAATGCGACAGCCAATAATGTAGTTAAGGCCCTAATTGAAAATATAGTATCCAGGTTTGTACTAATAGAGAACATTGATTCAGACAATGGAACTCATTTCACCACACACATTATTAAAAAGCTATCCCAAACATTAGACATTAGATGGCAATACCATACTCCCTGGCACCAACCCTCATCAGGGAGAGTAGAAAGAATGAATCAGACCTTAAAGAACCACTTAACCAAGTTAGTCTTAGAGACTCGATTGCCATGGACCAAGTGTCTTCCTATTGCCCTGCTGAGAATTTGAAATGCACCACGGAAAGATACTGGTCTTTCTCCTTATGAGATGCTCTATGGATTGCCTTATTTACACTCCGCTGCTGATACTCCTACCTTTGAAACAAAAGATCAATTCCTAAAAAATTATATACTTGGTCTATTTTCTACTTTCTCTTCTCTTAAAACTAAAGGTCTATTAGTACAGGCGCTGTCCTTAGAGTTCCGGGTGCATCAAGATCAGCCTGGGGATCACATCCTCATCAAAAGCTGGAAGGAGAAGCTCAAGCCAGCCTGGGAAGGTTCTTACTTAGTGCTCCTAACTACTGAAACCACAGTCCGTACAGCTGAGAGAGGATGGACTCATCACAACTGAGTCAAGAAAGCGCTGCCCCATCCAGAGTCATGGGCCATAGTCCCAGGGGAAAACCCTACACCAAACTAAAGCTAAGAATTTAACTCTTTGATCTATTACTCTTTCTTCTTTCCTTGCTCTATTGCTGACCATCTAGTATTAACATAACCAAGTCATTTTCACCTCAAACTACTGCATTTGATGCTTGCCTTCTTATACCCTATAAGGACTTGCCAAGTCGAAGACAGATCTCCACTTCAGAAAAGTACCTCTGTCCCTCCTGGCTCTCCTCAGACTAGGTATTAGTGAATTGGGACCATTTAATCCAGGGAGATTTCAATAGACCCCAGTGTCAACCAGGAGTCTTACCCTCAATGTAGAGCTTTTATGCCATAGTTGGTCCAACATTCTGTGGACCACTAAAGAGCAAGGATGGACTGCCCCAAAAGGTTTTTGTAATTTCCTAAAACTAAACTAAAACTCTTTTCCAGGATTCTACAGCCTGGGGTAACAAGTCATGCCAAGCTCTCTCTCTGCTACATCCCGAAGTTTGACACCCTGCAGGTCAGCCCCCGAGGGCCATCCAGCTTCCATCCCCCAACACTAAGTTCACTTTGTGTCTCTCATGACAGGGAGGAAACTTAGCATTCCTTGGAGACCGGAAGGGATGCAGTGAGCTTAAGAATTTTTAAGAGCTTACCAGTCAGTCAGCCCTTGTTCGTCCCCGAGCAGATTGTGGTGGTATTGTGGTAGACCTTTACTGGATACTCTGCCAAGTAACTGGAGTGGCACCTGTGCTTTAGTACAATTAGCTATCCCTTTCACCCTGGCATTTCATCAACCAGAGGAAGAAAAAATAGGACATTGTAAGCAAGAGAAGCCCCTTATGGGTCCTTCAACTCTCATGTCTATTTAGACGCAATTGGAGTCTCATGGGGAATACCAGATCAATTTAAAGCCTGAGATCAAATAGCTGCAGGATTTGAGTCAATATTTTGGTAGGTGACAATAAAAATGTAGATTGGATACACTATATCTATTACAACCAACGGCGATTTATTAACTACACTACAGATGCTGTTAAAGGAATAGCTGAGCAATTAGGGGCTACTAGCCAGATAGCTTGGGAAAATAGGACAGCCTTAGACATGATATTAGCAGAAAGAGGAGGAGTTTGATTCATAATTAAAACTCAATGTTGTACCTTCATCCCAAACACCACCGCCCCTGATGGAAATATAACAAAGGCATTGCAAGGTCTGACTGCTCTGTCTAATGAGTTAGCCAACAACTCAAGGGTAAATGACCCTTTTATAGAATGGCTAGAAAAGTGGTTCGGTAAATGGAAAGGAATAATAGCCTCAATTCTTACTTCCCTCGCAGCCGTAATGGGTGTACTTCTTCTTCTTGGGTGCTGTGTCATATCACGCATCCATGGGTTGGTACAGAGGCTCATAGAAATGGCACTTACTAAAATCTCCCTTAACTATCTCCACCTTATCCAGAGAAGTTTCTCCTTTTGGAAAATCAAGCAGAACAACTAAGCCAAGACATGTTAAAGAAGTTTGAAGAGAAAGAGCTATAAGGAAAATGTGAGAAGAGGGAATTATTAGATATGAGTTCTAAATTTCTCTTCAAAGAATCAATATGTCAGTATGTTCAATTCTTGGCCTTCTACTTTTAAACTTAACTTCCTCGTAACCCAACCTTTATCGATCACCTGCTCCACCCTGACTCATTCTGATTACCTGCTCCTCCCTGACTCATTCTGATCTACCCTGGCTCCCGCCAAACCACTCACCCTGTCATTCTCTTTAAATTAGCCAACCGGAATTAGTTTAGCCTGTGTGGTCTAACCCTAGCCAATAGGGGAATGACACAGCAGCAGGAGCCATACGCGTAAGGGATAAGAACCCCTTCCCCTCCCTTGTCCAAGTGTGAGCTTACCATTGCTCCATCTGTAAGGGCGTACCCTTCTACAGAAGTAAATCGCCTTGCTGAGAAGTAAAAAAGAAAATTGTATATTCGAGTGCTATTTCTTTTGCAGCACCAAAACCTTACTTATAACACAGTAAAGGCACACTTATAACCAGGAGGTGCCCTGCTCTGAGTCCTGAGTAACGAGCAGCAGCTAGGCAGGACCTTTGAGCTGAGAAGCCCAGCTCCATGGAGCCTCTTCTCTAAGCCTATTTTTTTTTTTTTTTTTTTGAGATGGAGTTTCACTTGTGTCACCCAAGCTGGAGTGCCGTGGCACCATCTCGGCTCACTGCAACCCCCGCCTCCTGGGTTCAAGCGATTCTGCTCCCTCAGCTTCCTGAGTGGCTAGGATTACAGGCACATGCCACCACACTCAGCTAATTTTTGTATTTCTAGTAGAGATGGGGGTTTCACCATGTTGGCCAGACTGGTTTCAAATCCTGTAAGCCTTTCGGTTGTGGTAGGTGGCCCTTCCTGTCATTTCTCTGGCTCAGGGGAAAGGGCTGCTCCCTGCACTCATCAGCTCTAGGTTGCCCCAGGGCTCTCCGTTGCTTACAGCCCCCCAACATCAATTCAACTAATTCCTTAGACTGTTGGTTTATATTCTCTCTCTCCGGCATAAATTTGTACTAAATTCTCTCTACTGAAATACCTTCTGGTTGTCTTTTAATCCTGTGGCCAGCTGAATTCCAGTAAAACACAGCTCACAACAGTTCCTTAAAGGCCCAGGCTACCTGAAAGCCCACAAGCTACCTGTTTTAAAAATGGAATAAGGTGCCCAAGCTCCGTATCAATGATCTTGTACCATGACGAAGAAACTATGGGCTGCATTTCAGCGCACTCACCCTCAATCATATGTCTTACATAGGACACATCTGTAAATGGTGAACCTGTCAACGGTAATGGTAATGTGTCATCTCTGCATTCACCACTTCTAATATTCTCACTGAAGTACTAGATGATAATTATATAGACATTAAATTATGAAACTCCTACAAATATTCCAGACCTTTCTTAGAACAGGCTAGGATCACCAGAATGACCCCCAGACATACCTGGCGTGAGTGAAGTTTCTTTTATTCAAAATTAGAAAGGCATGAGATATATGCTAAGAATTATTTATAGTTTAAGAATACTCATATTTTAACTTTTTTATTACTATTTTTTTTTTGAGACGGAGTCTCGCTCTGTCACCCAGGCTGGAGTGCAGTGGAGCGATCTCGGCTCACTGCAAGCTCTGCCTCCCGTTCATGCCATTCTCCTGCCTCAGCCTCCTGAGTAGCTGGGACTATAGGCGCCCGCCACCACATCCA
The DNA here is from genome assembly GCF_000001405.40 of Homo sapiens. Classification (NCBI taxonomy): domain Eukaryota; kingdom Metazoa; phylum Chordata; class Mammalia; order Primates; family Hominidae; genus Homo; species Homo sapiens. The sequence continues at coordinate 18,579,333 of NC_000010.11, forward strand.
GCTAATTTTTTGTATTTTTAGTAGAGACAGGGTTTCACCGTGTTAGCCAGGATGGTGTTGATCTCCTGACGTCGTGATCCACCCGCCTCAGCCTCCCAAAGTGCTGGGATTACATGCGTGAGCCACGTCGCCCGGCCTCATATTTTTATTCATTAAACGCTTTTTCACATAATATATAGTCCTGTGTGAATGCAAAATATCTGAACCAGGTTTCAGTCAATTTAGATAGTTTATTTTACCAAGGTTAAGAATGCGTCCATGACACAGCCTCAGAAAGTCCTGAGACATGTGCCCCAGGTGGTTGGGGGTACAGTTTGCTTTTATGCATTTTAGGGAGACATGAGACATCAATCAATATGTGTAAAATGTACACTGGTTCTCCGGTAAGGTGGAAGTGGGGCTTCCAGGTTAGGAGTAGCTAAGAGACAGAGGGTTGCATTCTTTTGAGTCTTGATCAGCCTTCCACTGAATACACAATTTAGTCTGCCTCAATAAATCTGCATTTTTACATAAACAATAGGGGAGAGAAGGCAATCATATGTGCATTTGTCTCAGGTGAGCAGAGGGATAACTTTGAAAAGAATGGGAAGCAGGTTTGCCCTAACCCGTTCCCAGCTTGACTTTTCCCTTTAGCTTAGTGATTTGGGGTCCCAAGATTTATTTTCCTTTCGCACCTGTAACTACACCTAGGGATCTCTGAAACTGTATTACTTTGAGGTGGTGTGTAATTTAGGAACAATTTTGTGTTAAATGAGATTGACATGACTTCTGGAATAAGGGCATGGGGAGTTTTGCAGACGCTCTCGCCAGCGGCAAAAACAAAAACAACCCTTTGAAGCCTCTGGAAAATGTCCTAAGACCACACAGCAAATGAAGAAACATTTATTTAAGAAAATCAACCACAGCTTAATAAGAACAGTGAGAATCTGTGCATTTGTGCCATGACCCGCTCTTTTCTCCCTTTTCCAACTACTTTCCACTTCTCCGAAGCTCAGAATAAGATCCACTTCATGTGGGTGCAGCCAAGAACACAAGACTCCCTCTCTCCTTAAGCTCCCAGTCAAGGAATGAAAGGACTGTGGTCTCTCCCTAAGAGGGACAGGCTTGTCAGCTTGTTTCATGTGCCCCAGTTCCACCTTGCACAGGCTATAATTCCAGATAAGAGCCAGAGAACTGGGGGCTATCTTCCTCCACCCAGCCCCCATTCATAGGTGGGAAGCTCTACCCAGGCACAGTAGGCTAAGAGTATTTAACCCCTGATTACCCTCACCCAAGAGCCAAGTGAAGAGGTTCCATCCCAGGAGAGGCAAGCCAAAAGACCAGAGGCTGCCACCCCAGCCCAGCATCAAGAGTCTGGCTCCAAGAGAAACAAACCACTGCCCTGCCCCCATCTCTGCAGCAGTGGCCCAGAGGTTTTACCCAAGATGCAGAAAGGAAGAACAGAGTTCTGAAGCTCTCCCCAAGTGAACTTGCTAGCAGGAGTAACTCTGTTTGGGTCTGCAGCAACCTCAATTCTTGCCCCCTCAGGAGAAAGAGTTCGACCAAGGGGCACAAGGCAGAGTGATCTTGGTTGAGGCAAATTTTAGAGCAGGAGTGAAAGTTTATTAGAAAGTTTAAAGCATAAATGAAAGAAAGTAAAGTACACTTGGAAGAGGGCCAACTGGGCGACTTGAGAGATCAAGTGCATGGTCTGACCTTCTGACTTGGGGTTTTGTATGCTGACATACTTCTGGGGTCTGGCGTTACTTCTCCTGATTCTTCCCTTGGGGTGGGCTGCCAGCATGGACAGTGGCCTGCTCGCACTTGGGAGGGGAGCGTGCACAGTGTGTTTATCAGAGGCGTTTGAACCACCCATCTTGAATGGGGGCTGGGTAAAATAAGGCTGAGACCTACTGGGCTGCATTCCCAGTAAGTTAAGGCATTCTTAGTCACAGGATGATACAGAAGATCAGTACAAGATACAGGTCATAAAGACCTTGCTGATAAAAACAGTTTGCAATAAAGAAGCCAGCTAAAACCCACCAAAACAAAGATGGCGATGAAAGTGACCTCTGGTGGTCCTCACTGCTACACTCCCACTGGCACCATGACAATTTACAAATGACATGGCAGCATCAGGAAATTAACCTATAAGGTCTAAAAATGGGAGGTATGAATACTCTATCCCTTGTTTAGCATATACTCAAGAAATAGCCATAAAAATGGGCAAACAAGCCAGCCGTGGTGGCTCATGCCTGTAATTCCAGCACTTTGGGAGGCCGAGGTGGGCGGATCACAAGGTCAAGAGATCGAGATCATCGTGGCCAACATGGTGAAACCCCGTCTCCACTGAAAATACAAAACATTACCTGGGTGCGGTGGCATGCGCCTGTAGTCCCAGCTACTCAGGAGGCTGAGGCAGGAGAATCGCTTGAACCCGGGAGGCGGAGGCTGAAGTGAGCCGAGATCGTGCCACTGTACTCCAGACTGGTGACAGAGTGAGATTCCATCTCAAAAAAAAAAAAAAGGGAAACCAGCAGCCCTCAAGGCTGCTCTATGAAGCAGTCATTCTTTTATTCCTCTACTTTCTTAATAAACTTGCTTTCACTTTACTCTATGAACTCATCCTGAATTCTTTCTTGCAGGAGATCCAAGAACCCTCTCCTGGGGTCTGGATCTGGACCCCTTTCCAGTAACATAATTACTGGAGTTGTGTGCATTCTTGCTGAGGCGTTCTTCCCTTACCAGCCGAAAGTCCCTAGGAGGTCATATACCAGTTAAACTTCCAAGACCTTGCCTTCGTGTGCATGTGTGAGCCCACTCAGCCAACTCCTGAGATCTTATCAGAATGCTGATCACCAGTTTCATGTTTTTTCTGTCTTCTGGGAGACTACCTTTCCCTGGCACTGGCTGCAACCAATTATTATTTTAGAAAGACAGTTAACAACTGCCTGACCGTCACCTGATGCTTGCCTGACATTCCCGGTTGTGGAGGCTCTCTCCTGCCCTGTTTATGTCTGACTAGCTACCTACTGTAACAAACTAACTTTATTTTGAACAGAAGGTGTGGAATTTTAAGCCTCAGCACACTCTTGAAAATAACGGAGATTGTGGTGGTGAGCAATTAAGAGGAGGCTGGGAGCTCCATGAGAAGAATCCGCTAAACCAAAGACCGGAGAAGTTTATGAGAGAATCAAGGTATGAGACAGCGAGAAGAGCCTTCTGGGCTGGGAAAAACCTCAAAGACTATTCAGAAAGATTACCTATGCAAAGGATCTCATATTCATTGGATCAGATGGTGGGGCAACTTATGTCCCAGGGCACTGTTGAAAAGAATAAAGCAATCAATCTGCAATTAGTGGAGGGTAACAGTGCTCTGTAATGCCAACTGAAGCACACAGTTTAACACAAAGAGCAGGGAAAGAGACAAAGTGAGCCCTGCGAAAACTAAAACCACTGTAATCCCAGGAGTACTATGCCCATGTCAAAAAAGCTGCTGAGGAGTGACATCTCAGCTGCACATGCTGAAGGAATACAGTTTACTAAAATAGTGGAGCCATGACACTAAACAAATAAGCAAACTATCACAACAAGCCTGGGGAGGAGGTGAATTAGCATTCAAGTTGTTACGATGTATTTGTCAGGCCTCTGAGACGAAGCTCAGCCATTATAACCCCTGTGACCTGCACATACACATCCAGATAGCCTGCAGGAGCCAAGAAGTCTGGAGCAGTCAAAGAAAAACCACAGCCAAAAACCACAGCCAGTTCCTGCCTTAACTGATCAACTAAAATTATAATATTTTACTATTGTGACGTGTCCCTGCCCTACCTTGGCTGATCAGTCAACTTTGTGACATTCTTCTTCTGGACAATAAGTCTTAGGATCTCTCCACCACGCATCTTGTAACCCCCTCCTCTGCTAACAATAGATAACCACCTTTTACCGTAATTTGCCATTACCTACCCAACTCCTATAAGGCAACCCCTTCCTTATCTCCCTTTGCTGACTCCCTTTTCGGACTCAGCCCACCTGCACCCAGGTGAATTAAAAGCTTTGTTGCTCACACAAAGCCTGCTTGGTGGTCTCTTCACACAGACGCGGTTGACAGTATTACCTAAAATGTCCAGTTTTCAGCCGAAAAAAGAATATGAGATATGCAAAGAAAAAGGAAAATGTGACCCATTGGTAGGGGAGAAAAAGCAGCCAAAAAAGTTAACTTTGAGAGAGTTTAGCTGCCAGACTTAGCAGGCAAAAACTTTAAAGCAGCCAATAAAAATATGTTCAAAGAATTAAAAGAAAGGAAAACATGCTTAAAAATGTAAAGGGAGATATGGTCGCCATGTTTCATCAAATAGAGAATATCAATAGAGGGAAATTTTTAAAAAAGGATATCAAGATGTTGAAAGTACAATTCTTAAAAATTCCACTAGAGGGGCTCAACCAGAGTTAAGCCTATAGAAAAAAATGAGCATACTTGAAGACAGATGAATATAGATTATGTAATCTTGTAACTGAGTGCTTGCATTTTTCTAAGAAAAAAGGAATGAATTGCTATTTTAAAAATTATTTTCTGTTCTCTTCTCCCCTTTCCCTATTCCCCGTTTGTTTCCTACTCAGCCCTTCAGAAACGCAAATTTAATCTTTTACACACTTTCCCCTCACCAGACATACCCTGCAGGGCAAGTTCTTCTAACTAAGCCTCCAAGACAGATCTCTCCTAGAGAACTGACAGTCAATTTGCAGACCAAACCATACTGGCCAGCGAACTTTCACCTCCAGGGGGTGGTCTTGAAATTTCCACCCTCTAGGTGTTGCCACTCTTGTGGGGAGTAGGGGGCACTTTCATCCACCAGGAGGACATATCGAAATCATGCCTGCTTGGCCACTTTTACAACTTATTCCTGCCCAGGAAGGTGCCAATTAAACTGTGTTAGATTAGGCACCAGCTAGCAGTGGGAGCCCTGCCCTCGTTCACTTCCCCCCTTACCTTATAAAAGTTTCCGCTTTCTGCTCCAAAGGTGAAGCAGCACATATAAACGCAGGATGCTGTATGCCTCATTCCCTAAGCTAGCTTTGGAAGAAACCATTTTCCTTGTACCAGACCTTATTCTTGTTAATCAGACTCTAAATGTGGCATGCAGCTAATCAGGTTTTTGGTTACAATCTGAAGGTCAGAGAGATACAAAAATGAAGACAAATGACCACAAACTTCAGAGAAACTTGTGACATTATTAAGACAACTTAGGCATTATTAACACAACTTAGGTAGTCCCAAAAGGAAAGCAAGAAAAAAAGGTAATATTCAAAAAATTATGGCTGAAAATGACCCACATTTGATGAAAAGCAATGTACACATCCAAAAAGAACAACTAGCTCTGAGGTGGACAAATGCAAAAAGATCCACAACCAGATACATCATCGTAAAAATGTTGAAAGTCAAAAGCAAAGAGAAAATGTTAAAGGAAGCAAGAGAAAAACAACTTGCCATGTACTAGGGAACTATAAAAGATTAGCAGTTGATTGTTAATTAGGAACAATGGAGCCCCAAAGATGGTAACATGACATATTCAGAGTACAGAAAGAAAAAAAAAAACCCATCAACCAAGAATTTAATACTCAGTAAAACTATCTCTCAAAAATAAAGACCTATTTCAAATAGATCTTTCAAAAATAGAGACCTATTAAAAAAAAAAAAAGAGAGAGAAGGACCTAACAGACATACAAATAGCCAACAAGTTTATGAAAGAATGCCCAATATCGCTAATCATCAGGAAAATGCAAATCAAAACAACGAGATGTCACCTCACCCCAGTTAAAATGGCCATCATTAAAAACACACACACAAAAAATAATATATGCCGGCAAGGATGCAGAGAAAACCAAACTCTTTTACATTGTTGGTAGGAATGTAAATTAGTACAGCCATTATGTAAAATGGTATGGAGGTTCTTCAAAAGTAAATAGAACTACCAAATTACCCAGCAATCCTACTACTGGGTATATAGACAAAGGAATTGAAATCAGCAGGTCAAAGAGATATCTGCACTCTCATTTCACTGCAGCATTATTCCCAACAGTCAAGATATGGAATCCATCAAGAAACGAATGAATAAAGAAAATGTGGTACATACACACGATGGAATACCATTCAGCCTTTAAAACAAAAAGAAATTATGTTGTTTGCAACAAAATAGATGAACCTGGAAGACATCATATTATGCTAAGTGAAATAAGCCAGGCAGTGAAGGACAAATATTACACGATCTCACTTAAGTGGGGAATCTAAAAAAGTCAAACTCATAGAAAGAATAGTGGTTACCAGAGGCTGGGGGAGGAGGGAGGACCAAGGAATGGGAGACACTGTTCAAAGGGTACAAAGTTTCAGATGGACGGGAGTAAGTTTTTGAGATCTACTGCACAGCATGGTGACTATACTAATGTATTTTGTGTTTCAAAGCTGCTATGAGAGTAAATTTCAAATTACCACAAGGATAAGTACAGTGATGGATATGTTAATTAGCTTGTTTTAATCATTCCACATTGTATACAAAATTATATACATGTCAAAACATCACACTGTATGCCACAAATATATGATCTGTCAATTAAAAATAAGAAAATCAAAATAGCTCACCTTCTGTGTCCTCCACCATATCAAGTTTAACCGCCTTTGTTCCATCAAAACAAAATGCCCTGATGGAATTCAGCCCTAACAATAAGGCATTCTGTTTGATTTTTTCTACTTTGTTGAAGATTTTATCCAGTGCTATAACTTCTCCCTAAAAAGAAACAAAACACACACATGCAGAAAAAAAAAAAGAAAATTATAAATCCAAAGCAGTCATAAAAATAATGAGAAAAACATGAAAAATTATGGTCTTTTCCACCATACTCCCATCCCTAATTTAAAACCTCTATCCATTAACCAAATGTATGTGTCTGGAATTTATTCCTTCTGGTGGGTTCTTGGTCTCGCTGACCTCAAGAATGAAGCCGCAGACCCTTGCGATGAGTGTTACAGTTCTTAAAGACGTTGTGTCCGGAGCTTGTTCCTTCAGATGTTCAGATGTGTCTGGAGTTTCTTCCTTCCGGTCGGTTCATGGTCTCCCTGACTTCAGGAGTGAAGCCGCAGACCTTCGCAGTGAGTGTTACACCTCTTAAAGGTGGCGCGTCTGCAGTTGTTTGTTCCTCCGGGTGGGTTCGTGGTCTTGCTGACTTGGGGAGTGAAGCGGCAGACCTTCGCAGTGAGTGTTATAGCTGTTCAAGGTGGTGCGTCCAGAGTTGTTTGTTCCTCCCAGTGGGTTCGTGGTCTCGCTGACTTCAGGAGTGAAGCCGCAGACCTTCGTAGTGAGTGTTACAGCTCACAAAGGTAGTGCAGACCCAAAGAGTCAGCGGCAGCAAGATTTATTGTGAAGAACGAAAGAACAAAGTTTCCACTATGTGGAAGGGGACCCTAGCGGCTTGCAGCTACTGGCTCTGGTGGCCAGCTTTTATTCCCTTATTTGGCCCCGCCCACATCCTGCCTATTGGTCCATTTTACAGAGCGCTGATTGGTCCATTTTACACAGTGCTGATTGGTGCATTTACAATCCTTTAGCTAGACACAGAGCACTGATTGGTGCGTTTACAATCCTCTAGCTCGACAGAAAGGTTCTCCAAGTCCCCACTCGACCCAGGAAGTCCAGTTGGCTTCACCTCTCATGTATATCCAATTCACATTAAATACTTATGGCTTTCCATTAAGAAAATACACATTCTTGCCAGAAAAATAATCTTATAATAACTAGCTACTTTTAATCAACAAAACTCAACACCAAAAGTATTTGCAATCTTCGAAAGACACTTAAAAACATCCACTGGAGGCAAACATTAAAAATCACCAATTTGATGTGCCTTGCTCACCTCTGGAACAACATGAGCTAATGCTATTAGACGGCGGCCTTAAAGTGCTTTGAGATGCAAATGAATGTTACTTGTATGACTGGTCATTTTAATATTTCCCAGCTAGCCACATATAATTCCTGTGAACCCTGGCAACCAAAACTGGAAAAATATAAGCCAAAACCTCTGTATAGCATAGCAAAATATTTTGGTATGGTATAAAACGCAGTTCAAGAAAATTTTATATAGTAACACTTTAAGTCAAAGTCAATAAAGATAAGAGGTCAAAATTTGGGAGGGGCCAAGAGAGCTGAATAGAAACAGCTCCAGTCTGTAGCTCCCAGCGAGACCAATGCAGAACGTGAGTGATTTCTGCATTTCTAACTGAGGTACCCAGTTCATCTCACTGGGACTGGTTAGGCAGTGGGTGCAACGCACGGACAGCCAGCAGAAATAGGATGGGGCGTCACTCACCCAGGAAGTGCAAGCAGCTGGGGGGCCTCCCTCCCCCAGCCAAGAGAAGCTGTGAGGAACAAACTGTGCTACCCAGGCTGGGTACTACGCTTTTCCCATGGTTTTTGCAATCCACAGATCAGGAGATTCCCTCATGAGCCTACACATGGGCCCTGGGTTTCAAGCACAAAACTGGGCGGCCATTTGGGCAGGCACCGAGCTAGCTGTAGTTTTTTTTTTTGTACCTCAGTGGCACCTGGAACCCCAGTAAGACAGAACCGTTTACTCCCCTGGAAAGGGGGCTAATGCCAGGGAGCCAAGTGGTCTCACTCAGTAGGTCCCACTGTCACGGAGCCCAGCAAGCTAAGAACCACTGGCTTGAAATTCTCACAGCCAGCACAGCAGTCTGGAGTCAACGTGGGATGACCGAGCTTGGTGGGCATCCGCCATTACTGAGTCTTCAGGAGGCTGTTGTACCTTGACAGTGCTAAGGAGACTGGGAGGTTTGGACTGGGAAGAATTGACCGCAGCACAGCAAAGCAGTTGTGGCCAGACTGCTTCTCTAGATTCCTCCTCACTGGGCAGGGCATCTCTGAAGGACAGGCAGCAGGCCCACTCAGGGGCTTACAGATAAAACTCTCATTTCCCTTGGACAGAGCACCTGGGGGGAGGGGTGGCTGTGGGCACAGCTTGGGCAGACTTAATCTTTCCAGCCTGCGGGCTCTGAAGAGAGAAGCTGATCCTGACAAGGGGGATTCTCCCAGCACAGTGTACCAGCTCTGCTAAGGGACAGATTGCCTCAAGTGGGTCCCTGATCTCCGTGCCTCCTGACTAGGAGAGACCACCCAACAGGGGTCGACAGACACCTCATGCAGGAGAGTTCCAGCTAGCATCGGGCCAGTGCCCTTTCAGATGAAGCTTCCAGAGGAAGGAACAGGCAGCAATTTTTGCTGTTCTGCAGCCTCCACTGGTGATACCCAGTCAAACAGGGTCTGGGGTGGACCTCCAGCAAACCGCAGCAGACCTGCAGAAGAGAGGCCTGTTAGAAGAAAAACTAACAAACAGAAAGCAACAACATCAACAAAAAAGACCCCCACAACAATCCCATCCAAAGGTCATCAACCTCAAAGATCAAAGGTATATAAATCCATGAAGATGAGGAAATAACAGCACAAAAATGCTGAAAATTCCAAAAACCAGAATGCCTCTTCTCCTCTAAATAATCGCAACTCCTCTCCAGCAAGGGCACAAAACTGGACAGGGAATGAGACTGACAAACTGACAGAAGTAGGCTTCTGAAGGTGGGTAATAACAAACTCCTCTGAGCTAAAGGAGCATGTTCTAACCCAATGCAAGGAAGCTAAGAACCTTGATAAAAGGTTACAGGAATGGCTAACTAAAATAACCAGTTTAGAGAGGAACATAAATGACCTGATGGAGCTGAAAAACACAGCATGAGAACTTCTTGAAGCATACACAAGTATCAATAGACAAATCGATGAAGCAGAAGAAAGGATATCAGAGACTGAAGATCACCTTGCTGAAATAAGGCATAAAGACAAGATTAGAGAAAAAACAATGAAAAGGAGTGAACAAAGCCTACAAGAAATATGCGACTATGTGAAAAGACCAAACCCATGAATGACTGGCATACCTGAAAGTGACAGGGAGAATGGACCAAATTGGAAAACACACTTTAGGATATCATCCAGAAGAACTTCCCCAACCTAGCAAGACAGGCCCAAGTTCAAATTCAGAAAGTACAGGGAACACCACTAAGATACCCCTCAAGAAGAGCAACCCCAAGACACATAATCAGATTTTCAAAGGTTGAAGCAAAGGTTAAGGGCAGCCAGAAAGGAAGGTCAGGTCACCTACAAAGGGAAGCCCATCGGACTAACAGCAGATGTCTCTGCAGAAACCCTACAAGCCAAAATAGAATGGGGGTGAATATTCAACATTCTTAAATAAAAGAATTTTCAACCCAGAATTTCACATCTAGCCAAATTAAGCTCCATAAGCAAAGGAGAAATAAAATCCTTTCCAGGCAAGCAAATGCTGAGGGATTTTGTCACCACCAGTCCACCCTTACAAGAGCTCCTAAAGGAAGCACTAAATATGGAAAGGAAAAACCAGTAACAGCCACTGCAAAAACACACCAAAATATAAAGACCAACGACACTATGAAGAAACTGCATCAACTAACGCGCAAAATAACAAGCTAGCATCATGATGACAGGATCAAATTCACACCTAACAATATTAACTTTAAATGTAAATGACCAAATGCCCCAATTAAAAGATACAGACTAGTAAACTGGATAAAGAGTCAAGACCCATCGGTGTGCTGTATTCGGGAGACCCATCTCATGTGCAAAGACACACACAGGCTCAAAATAAAGGAATGGAGGAATATTTACCAAGTCAATGGAAAGCAAAAAAAAAGTAGGGGTTGCAATCCTAGTCTCTGATAAAACAGACTTTAAACCAACAAAGATCAAAAAAGACAAAGAAGGGCATTACATAATGACAAAAGGGTCAATGCAACAAGAAGAGCTAACTATCCTAAATATATATGCACCCAATACAGGAGCACCCAGATTCATAAAACAAGTTCTTAGAGACCTACAAAGAGACTTAAGACTCCCACACAATAATAGTGGGAGACTTTAACACCCTACTGTTAATAGTAGATCAATGAGACAGAAAATTAACAAGGATATTCAGGACATGAACTCACCTCTGGATCAAGTGGACCTAATAGACATCTACAGAACTCTCTACCCCACATCAACAGAATATACATTATTCTCAGTGCCACATGGCACTTATTCTAAACTCGACCACATAACTGGGAGTAAAACACTCCTCAGCAAATGCAAAAGAATGGAAATCATAACAAACAGTCTCTCAGACCACAGTGCAATCAAATTAGGACTCAGGATTAAGAAACTCACTCAAAACCGCACGACTACATGGAAATTGAACAACTTGCTCCTGAATGACTACTGGGTAAATAAAACAATTTAGGCAGAAATAAAGAAGTTATTTGAAACCAATGAGAACAAAGAGACAATGTACCAGAATCTCTGGGACACAGTTAATGCAGTGTTAAGAGGGAAATTTATAGCACTAAATGCCCACATCATCAAGCTGGAAAGATCTGAAATCGACACCCAAACATCACAATTAAAAGAACTAGAGAAGAAAGAGCCAACAAAAGGTAGCAGAAAACAATAAATAACTAGAGCAGAAATGAAGGGGACAGAGACACAAAAAACCCTTCAAAGAATGAATTGAGGAGCTGGTTTTTTGAAAAGATTAACAAAACAGACCATTAGCTAGACTAACACAGAAGAAAACAAAGAAGAATCAAACAGACACAATAAAAAATGATAAAGGGGATGTCACCACTGATCCCAAAGAAATACAAACTGCCATCAGAGAATACTATAAACCCCTCCATGCAAATAACCTAGAAAATCTAGAAGAAATGGATAAATTCCTGGACACATACACCCTCCCAAAACTAAATCAGGAAGAAGTCAAATTCCTGAATAGACCAATAACAAGTTCTGAAATTGAGGCGGTAATAGCCTACCAACTAAAAAAAGCCCAGGACCAGATGGATTCACAGCAAAATTCTACCAGAGGTACAAAGAGGAGCTGGCACCATTCCTTCTGAAATGATTCCAAACAATAGAAAATGATTCCTCATTTTATGAGGCCAGCATCATCCTGATACCAAAACCTGGCAGAGACACAACAAAACAAGAGAATTTCAGGACAATATCCCTGATGAATATCTATGCAAAAATCCTCAATAAAATATTGGCAAACCAGATCCAGCAGTACATTAAAAAGCTTATCCACCACAATCAAGTCAGCTTCATCCCGGGGATGCAAGGCTGATTCAACACACTCAAATCAAAAAACGTAATCCATCACATAAACAACCAATGACAAAAACCACATGATTATCTCAATAGATACAGAAAAGGCCTTCCATAAAATTCAACATCCCTTCATGTTAAAAACTCTCAATAAACTAGGTATTGATGGAACATCTCAAAATAATGAGAGCTATTTGTGACAAACCCGTAGCCAACATCATACCGAATGGGCAAAAGCTGGAAGCATTCCCTTTGAAAACTGGCATGAGACAAGGATGCCCCCTCTCACCACTCCTATTCAACATAGTATTGGAAGCTCTGGCCAGGCTAATCAGGCAAGAGAAAGAAATAAAGAGTATTCAAATAGGAAGAGAGGAAGTCAAGTTGTCTCTGTTTGCAGATGACATGACTGTATATGTAGAAAACCCCATCGTCTCAGCCCAAAAACTCCTTAGGCTGATAAGCAACTTCAGCAAAGTCTCAGGATAAAAAATCAGTGTGCAAAAAAATCACAAGCATTCCTTTACACCAACAACAGACAAGCAGAGAGCCAAATCATGAGTGAACTCCCATTCACAATTGCTACAAAGAGAATAAAATACCTAGAAATGCAACTTACAAGGGACATGAATTACCCCTTCAAGAAGAACTGCAAACCATTGTTCAGGGAAATAAGAGAGGACACAAACAAATGGAAACAAATTCCATGCTCGTGGATAGGAAGAATCAATAACATCAAAATGGCCATAATGCCCAAAGTAATTTATAGACTCAACGGTATTTCCATCAAGCCACGATTGTCTTTCTTAGCAGAATTAGAAAAAAATACTTTAAACTTCATATGGAACCAAAAAAGGGCAAGTATAGCCAAGCCAATCTTAAGCAAAAAGAACAATGCTGGAGGCATCATGCTACCTGACTTCAAACTATATTACAAGGCTACAGTAGCCAAAACAGCAATGTACTGGTAACAAAACATATAGACCAATGTAACAGAACAGAGACCTCAGAAATAACAACACACATCTACAACCATCAGATCTTTGACAAACCTGACAAAAACAAGCAATGGTGAAAGGATCCCCTATTTAATAAATGGTGCTGGGAAAACTGGCTGTCCATATGCAGAAGACAGAAACTGCACCCCTTCCTTACACAAATATTAACTCAAGATGGATTAAAAACTTAAATGTAAAACCCAAAACCATAAAAACCCTAGAAGAAAACCTAGGCATTACCATTCAGGACACAGGCATAGGCAAGGACTTCATGACTAAATCACCAAAAGCAATGGCAACAAAAGCCAAAATTGACAAATGGGATCTAATTAAACTAAAGAGCTTCTGCACAGCAAAAGAAACTATCATTGGAGTGAACAGGCAACCTACAGATTGGGAGAAAATTTTTGCAATCTACCCATCTGACAAAGGTCTAATAACCAGAATCTACGAAGAACTTAAACAAATTTACAAGAAAAAAAAATCCCATCAAAAAGTGGACGAAGGATATGAACAGACACTTCTCAAAAGACAACATTTATGCTGCCAATAAACATATGAAAAAAAGCTCGTCATCACTGGTCATTAGAGAAATGCAAATCAAAACCACAATGAGATACCATCTCACGCCAGTTTGAATGGCGATTAAAAAGTCAGGAAACAACAGATGCTGGCAAGGATGTGGAGAAATAGGAGAAATAGCCTTTACACTGTTGGTGGGAGTGTAAATTAGTTCAACCGCTGTGGAAGACAGTGTGGCGATTCCTCAAGGATCTAGAACCAGAAATACCATTTGACCCAGCAATCCCATTACTGGGCATATACCCAAAGGATTATAAATCATTCTGCTATAAAAACATATGCACACATATGTTTACTGCAGCACTATTTACAATAGCAAAGACTTGGAACCAACCCAAATGCCCATCAATGACAGACTGGATAAAGAAAATGTGGCACATAGACACCATGGAATACTAAGCAGCCATAAAAATGAATGAATTCATGTCCTTTACAGGGACATGGATGAAGCTGGAAGTTATCATTCTCAGCAAACTAACACAGGAACAGAAAACCAAACACCACATGTTCTCACTCATAAGTGGGAGTTGAACAATGAGAACACATGGACACAGGGAGGGGAACATCACACACGGGGGCCTGTCAAAGGGTTGGAGGTAAGGGGAGGGATAGCATTAGGAAAAATACCTAATGCATGTGGGGCTTAAAACTTAGATAACGGGTTGATAGGTACAGCTAACCATCATGGCACATGTATACCTATGTAACAAACCTGCACATTCTGCAGGTGTATTGCAGAACTTAAAGCACAATTAAAAAAAAAAAAAAAGGGCCAAAATTTTAAGAATGCATCGTGGGCCAGGCACAGTGGCTCATGCCTGTAATCCCAGCACTTTGGGAGGCCGGGGCAGGCAGATCACTTGAGGCCAGGAGTTTGAAACCATCCTGGCCAACATGGTGAAACCCCATCTCTACTAAAAATACAAAAATTATTCGGGTGTGGTGGCATGCACCTGTAAGCCCCACTACTTGGGAGACTGAGGCATGAGAATCGCTCAAACCCGGGAGGCGGAGGTTGCAGTAAGCCAAGACTGGGCCACGGTGCACTCCAGCCTCAGCGACAGAGCAAGACTCTGAGAAAAAAAAAAAAAAAGAAAGCAAGCCTGGTGACATTCATATATTTTAAAACATACTATGAAATGGAATTGCAAATACAGTGAGAATGACTCTTCTATATATTTTCTTGCTTTGTTTTCCCTTTTCTTTTACACTGCCCTTGTATGCCATATGCAGCAATGGCATAGCCTACAATGCAGACAATTTGTAAATATTCCTCAAATACTACCAGGTTCAGTGATAGACACTTTCTGTTTTTTTTTGTTGTTGTTGTTTTTTGTTTTTTTTTGAGACGGAGTCTCACTCTGTCACCCATGCTGGAGTGCAGTGGCGCGATCTTGGCTCACTGCAATCTCTGCCTCCCAGGTCCAAGCGATTCTCCTGCCTCAGCCTCCCAAGTAGCTGGGACTACAGGCACACGCCACCATGCCCAGCTACTTTTTTTTGTATTTTTAGTAGAGATGGGGTTTCACATGTTGGCCTGGATGGTCTCGATCTCTTAACCTCGTGATCCAATTGTGGCTCAAATATTTCTATTCCGGTTGTTCGTGTCTGCATTGCTGCCCCACTGTGGCTGACTGCCTACATAGCCTCAATTCTTCAACTTTCCATGTATATTCACTCTTCACCAGATAATCCTGCAATATCCAATATGCTGTCACTCTGATGGGATTCAGTCATGTGATTTGTTTTGGCCAATAAATAGGGTGACAGTAGATGTCATGTAAGCAGAGGTTTTTTTTAATACCATGAAAAGCACTTGAACAGTTGGACTTGCTCTGCTTTGCTCTCTGCCATCACCAGCCCCCAACTACTGCCCTCTGCTGGGCCAGCCTGCTGGTCCCAATCAGGGGAGAACTTACACATCGGCCAGAGGCAGGGCATCCCTGTCATCTCAGCTGAGGCCACTTTAGATGAGCCAACAACCATCCAAGACCAAGTGAATGGGCCCACCCAAGATCATCAGAAACACCCAATTCACCTGCAGGTGACCAGTACATGAGTGAGCCCAGCAGGGATCAGCTGAATCCCATGGACTCCTGAGCCCCCAAAATGTTTAGTTGTATGCCGCCAAAATTTTGTGTCTTCACACATCATAAAACCAACAGAAAACTGATACACCCATAATATCCAGACTCCCTTTGGAAAGACATTTTTACTAAGAGAGAACCAAATCTCTATGAATAATTACCTTTAAGCAAATACGATAAATATGCCATAATTTAATGGAGAATTAACACTTTCTCAAAGCCGATCATGATCAATCTTTAATCTTCCATATAAAGTGAAAAATGATTTGCATTAAACATCACAACGCCACAAAATCAACCCTTCTTATTTCAGGTGCTTTATTTTAGGCCCTAGTTGTATTTAATGCATTTTTCCTTCAAGAGTTTTTGTTACCACCTTAAATTCTTTTGGGGCAAAGAAGAGTATAAATAAGCAGGCAAGTATATCCTCTCTAATGAGTATTACATTCCTCAAAATGTAAACAACAAATATCCTTTTCTCTTTTTTGATTCTCATTCTCAGTATTTAAAAAATATCCTTTTTTATTGGAGATCTTTCTTAGACCAAAATGATAACTTCAAATAGTAAATATTCTATATGTATGTGTATATGTTTATGTATTATACAACTATGTTTATATATTTTAACATATACATATTTCACACTTTGATAATATACTGTGAAATTAGTTTTTAATGGCAGAATATATTTTAATAGTTTAAACAACTATGAAATCTTATAAGAAAATGAAATAATCTAAATGTATTAAATTTAATTTCTTAACAGATTAAGTCTATAATCATATAAGCAAATTGTAAAATTCAAGACGGTCTTGAGACAGTCTTCATAAATGATCATTGTCTACTGAGCTTAATATGTAGTGACTGACATAACTGAATAGTTTTCATTTTGGCTGAATCTGAACTAAATGAGACTGTGAATGGCTCTATGTTTCAGAAATTACACATTGTGAAATATACACTACTTTGAGAGTGGATTTGCTGTGAAGACAGTCTCACCTGATCATGCATTAGTGCTGCAATGTGTGTTGTTTTCCCTCCAGGTGCTGCACACAAGTCTAGAATCTTCTCTCCAGGTTGAGGATTTAGTACATGACTTACTAAGGCAGATGGCAAATTCTATAAGGAAAAAAATGTAATCGATTATCAATAATCCTAAAGCATTTTTAATTTGAGAACCAGAGAATATAAAGAACCCTTTGGGGGTAATCCACTACAGCATCCTCACGTCTGCTAAGAGGACAATTTTTATAAATATACTCAGGTTAGGAAATTCACAATTTCCTAGAATATCCTACGATCTCCCAGGACTTACACACAAACCACCTGCGCAAAAATATACATGACACAATTTTCAAGTCAACTGAACTCAATTGCCTTATCAGTATTTTCTGGGTACCAGCAAAAAATAAATAAATAAATAACCCATATTATTTCCTTTTCTGAATCCCAATGGTTCTCAATATTCTGGAAGCCAGAGACCTCTAAAATTGCAGGACCACTCTGGACTTTTTTCCCAAAAAATGTACAAAATTTTGGTCTCAGCGGTCATTACTCAGCATTTTAGTACAAAAGCATGCCATTTTCATATAGACATATCATCTGAGAGTACTTCAATCTCAGCATTGTTCACTTTAATAATTTAAACTCCACTTGGGAACACATAAATATTAAATAATTGGTTTCTTCCAGTTAACCAAGAATATAACTTTGCCATTTTGGCCGCCTCATCATCTAACTCTCATTTAAGATGCCTTGTTTTATGCTGCTAAATCACCCAAAAGGCATGTTTGGGTCCCTGCTTCCACCACATTTCAACAGGAAATGAACTAAAATGCAAAAACAAACAAACAAACAACGACAACAACAAAAAACCTCAAACCCTGGCTGTTTCTGACTGGGACCTAAATATATATTATGAGGTTATACAACCAAAACATACCTCATCTATAGCAGTAAGTCATATTAAATCATTAATTTGTTATTAGTATCAATTATATAAGGACTACTTACTATAGAATGATAGCCTTGAATAAAACAGATAGAACAGTATCATAAAATAACTCATTTCTAAAATTATTTGGCAAGAAAAACAGAGTCTTATAAGCATGGAGTTACTTGTTTGGTTATTTTGGAGACAGAGTCTCATTATTTTGCTTAAGCTGGGTTCAAATTTGGGATCCTCACAATTGTGCCTCTTAAAGCTTAAAGGTTTCAATTCATTCCTACCAAAAGACTGAACAATACATCCATTAGTACACCCTCAAGAACTGTGAGATGGCCAGGAGTGCTGGTTCATGCCTGTAATTCCAGCACTTTGGGAGGCCAAAGCGGGAGGATTGCCTGAGGTCGGGAGTTTGAGACCAGCCTGACCAACATGGAGAAACCCCATCTCTACTAAAAATACATTAGCTGGGCATGGTGGCACATGCCTGTAATCCCAGCTACTCAGGAGGCTGAGGCAGGAGAATCACTTGAACCCAGGAGGTGGAGTTTGCAGTGAGCAGAGATAGCGTCAATGCACTCCAGCCTGGGCAATAAGAGCGAAACTCCATCTAAAAATAAATAAATAAATAAATACATACAAACATACAAAAAAACTGTGAGATGGCTACAACATTCTCAAGGGAATCTAAGATCACCACTTTGAAACAAACTCAGTGGTGAGAAAGCAGTTTCAAACAAGCAAATTTCTTCCTCTGAATATATGAAGCATTAAAATCAATGCAAACAATTTAGGCACCCAAAGAGCTAAGTGTCAGGCCTCTGAGCCCAAGCTAAGCCATAATATCCCCTGTGACCCGAATGTATACATCCAGATGGCCTGAAGCAACTGAAGATCCACAAAAGAAGTGAAATTAGCTTTAACTGATGACATTCCACCATTGTGATTTGTTTCTGCCCCACTCTCATCAATGTACCTTGTAATCTCCCCCACCCTTAAGAAGGTTCTTTGTAATTCTCCCCATCCTTGAGAATGTACTTTGTGAGATCCACCCCTGCCCGCAAAACATTGCTCCTAACTCCACCGCCTATCCCAAAACATGTAAGAACTAATGATAATCCCATCACCCTTTGCTGACTCTCTTTTCAGACTCAGCCCGCCTGCACCCAGGTGAAATAAACAGCCTTGCTGCTCACACAAAGCCTGTTTGGTGGTCTCTTCACATGGACACGTGAGACACTAAACACTAAAAATAGCTTAACCTACTATAGTTTATCCAGCAAGCTCTACTTATTTATTTTTATTTTTGAGACAGGATCTGGCTCTGTTACCCAGGCTGTCCGGGTCTCAGACTGTCACCTAGGTTGCAGTGCAGTGGCACAACCACGGCTCACTGAAGCCTCAACCACCTGGGCTCAATCAATCCTCCCACCTCAGCCTCCCGAATGGCTGGGACTACAGGCACACATCACCTCACTCAGCTAATTCTTTGTATTTTTTTGTAGAGACAGGGTTCCCCCAAGTTGCCCAGGATGGTCCTGGGCTCAGGTGAGCTGCCCACGTAGGCCTCCCAAAGTGTTGGGATTACAGGAGTGAGCCAGTATACCTGGCAGCAAGTTTTATTTATTACAAAAATATTTAAATTGAACTCCAAGATGAAAACACTAATACACGTTTAAAGCGGCTAAAGATTTGGTGATTCTTTATCTAGAGACAGCTGGCTATGCTTCACTCCTAAAAATGATAACATTAATGGATTGGCCAAAGATTATGTAAGTTTCCATTCAAACATAAGAAATACATTAAGAACTTTCTGATTTGTAATAAGTGAAAAAATATAAAACAGCCCATGTGACGAGGCTTAATTAAATATTCAAATAGCAGGCTTATTTTTTATTTTTGGAGATAGAGTCTTGCTCTGTCACACAGGCTGCAGTGCAGTGGTGCAATCAAAGCTCACTGCCACCTTGAACTCTTGGGCTCAAGAAATCCTCCCACATCAGCCTCCAAATGAGCTAGGACTACAGGCGTGTGCCACCACACCTGGCTAATCTTTAAAATTTCTTGTAGAGATGGGGTAGCACTATATCACTTCTTGGACTTCTGGCTAAGATCAAGCATTGAGATGGGGTTGCAGTATGTTGCCTAGGCTAGTCTCAAACTTCTGGGCTCAAGTTATCCTCCTGCCTTGGCCTCCCAAAGTGCTGGGATTACAGCTGTGAGCCACTGTGCCCGGTGACAGAGTTTTCTTAAAATAATTTACAACTTTCCTTTATAATATTCCTTTACACTGGTTATGCAGTATAATCACCGGGTAAGCTTAGGAAGAAAAGTCTGGGCCTTATCTAGTAAAATCAAGTCAGAATTTCCAACACTGGAGCATCAGTGGTTTCAAAATCACCCTAGGTGATTCTAGTGGGCATGGAGCCATGCGCCACTGCTGGACTACACTGATTACCACATAGCTGCACATTAGAATCACCTATGAAAGCTTTCAAACATCTGACCCAGGCTCTAACCCAGACAAAGGAAGGCCGCCATAGGTGGTAGGGCCAGGCAGGAGTATTTATTGAATGCTCCCTAGATTGTCCAACCTCTTTAAATTGTTTACAAGAAATGAGGCAATTAAAAAATTCAGTTTCAGGCACCATTTTTTTCTTCCAGTGAACCAAGAATATAACTTTGAAAACAGTTGCTGTATTTAACTGTCAACCCTTTATTAGACAATTAGTTCAACTGAAGGGCATCTAATACTTCTTAATTCTGTGGATTGTGTTTAAGCAATTTAAAAGTTTCCTTTTTGATTTTGGAAAACCAAATAATATAGTACAGTTGTAATTTTAATGACTGTGTACAACACTTCTATTAACTTTACAAAGTATCTTTGGGTAATGTAAGATGCTAAAATTAAAAATTATCCCTTATCACTAGCCCCTCACAATACACCCCACTTACCACTAAAAAGCCCCCATCACAATGTGAAGCTTTTGTATTGGCTGTTGGAAGCCACAGGGGGTATTGGCTTGGGGGGATAACAGTTTTCCAGGAAGAGGCAAGAGTCATCAAAAACCAAAGCAAAACGAAAAAAAAACCCCACAAATTTCCCAAATATTTTTGCACAAGAAAGCATGTAATTATGTCCTCCTGTCCTGTACAATAATTTCAGTAATCACATAGAATGAAAAAAGAGGCCGGTTGTGGTGGCTCATGCCTGTAATCCCAGCACTTTCAGAGGCCTAGGTCGGAGGACCGCTTCAGGCCAGGGGTTCCAGACCAGCCTGGGCAACATAGTGAGACCTCATCTCTATAAAAAAATAAAAAATTGGCTTCACATAGTACTGTGTACCTATAGTACCAGCTCCTTGGGAGGCTGAGGCAGGAAGATCACTTGAGCCTGGAAGATCAAGGCTGCAGTGAGCCATAATCCCACCACCACACTCAGCCTGGGAGACAAAGCCTCAATAAAACAAAAAAAGAGAAGAGACTACTACCTGGCCGGTGCAGTGGCTCATGCCTGTGATCCCAACACTTTGGGAGGCTGAGGCAGGTGGATCCCCTGAGGTCAGGAGTTTGAGACCAGACTGGCCAATATGGTGAAACCCCACCTCTACTAAAAATACAAAAATTAATTGGGTTTGGTGGCACACACCTGTAAGCACAGCTACTTAGGAGGCTAAGGCATGAGAATCTCTCAAAACTGGGAGGCGAAGGTTGCAGTGAGTGGAGATCATGCCATCGTACTCCAGCCTGAGTGAAAGAGCAAGACTCCATCTCAAAAAAAAAAAAAAATATATATATATATATATACATATATATATATATATGTATATATATATATATTATATACTAGCTGCCAAACTCTTGTGCCTGGTAGACAGATTTCAAGGTGTAACTACTTTGGCCACTCACCTTATGAACTACCTCATCTTCTCAAGTTAACCAGTTATTGAATGTCATTCAAGAAACCGTATCAGTTTTCTTAAGTTATAAACCAGTGCAGGCTTGAGATAATATATATTCAAAGTGCCTAGCACAAAGCCAACTTTAAATCAAAGCTGGCATAGATTCCTAGAATGTTATCTTGCATGAAGATGCAGCTCATGATTTGAGTATCTTTTTCCCTGTATTTTAGAAGATATTTTGAAACATGCCAAGCAAAATAGAATTTTAGTTCAAAATGAAACTACGTCACAGACTTCTCTGTGGGCCCAGATTTCAAATGGCAGAACTGCAGGAAAGTAGCAAACCAGAATAACACCTGGATTTCAACTTGAACCCTTTGTTCCAAGGAACCGAGTGTTTCAGTGTATGTTCAGCTCCCTTTAACCTCAAAGCTCCTTACTGAGATGTGGCAGGAGTAATTTTCCTAGTGGCTGGACTAAGACATAACAGTTATGAGCAGAACTAGGAGCAGGAAACAGGGCACTAGAGCTGAGGTTCCCTACATTGCTGCTGGATGAGTTTTGGGGTTTGGGGTGAAGAAACACTTTATTCCCCAAACCAGCTGGATTAGCAGTTCTCATTTTTTTACTTATAAAAGGAAATAAGGCTGGGTCTGGTGGCTCATGCCTGTAATCCCAGGACTTCGGGAAGCTGAGGCGGCCAGATCACCAGGTCAGGAGTTCGAGACCAACCTGGCCAACATGGTCCCCATCTCTACTAAAAATACAAAAATTAGCTGGGCATGGTGGTGGGCGCCTGTAATCCCATCTTGGGAAGCTGAGGCAGGAGAACTGCTTCAACCCGGAGGCAGAGATTGCAGTAAACTGAGATTGCACCACTGCACTCCAGCCTGGGTGACAGACTAACACTCTATCTCGGGGGAAAAAAAAAGGGAAATAAATCCATCAAGATGCTGGGGGAGAGTGGCTTTGTGAGACAGGTAATTCCCCCTTCCTGGTAATGGTGGGGTTGTTTTGTTTTGTTTTGAGATGGTGTTTCGCTCTGTCACCCAGGCTGGAATGCAGTGGCGCAATCTCAGTTTACTGCACCTCTGCCTCCCAGGTTCAACTGATTCTCCTGCCTCAGCCTCCCAAGTAGCTGGGATTACAGGCATGCACCACCACACCCAGCTAATTTTTGTGGGGTTTTTTTTTTTGTTTTTTTTTGAGACGGAGTCTTGCTCTGTTGCCCAGGCTGGAATGCAGTGGCGCAATCTCGGCTCACTGCAAGCTCCGTCTCCCAGGTTCATGCCATTCTCCTGCCTCAGCCTCCCGAGTAGCTGGGAATACAGGTGCCCGCCACCACGCCCGGCTAATTTTTTGTAGAGATGGGGTTTCACCGTGTTAGCCAGGATGGTCTCGATCTCCTGAACTCGTGATCCGCCCACCTTGGCCTCCCAAAGTGCTAGGATTACAGGCGTAACCCACCGCACCCGGCCTAATTTTTGTATTTTTAGTAGAGATGGTGTTTCACCATGTTGGCCAGGCTGGTCTCGAACTCCTGACCTCAAGTGATCCACCTGCCTTGGCCTCCCAAAGTGCTGGGATTACAGGTATGAGCCACCGCGCCCAGCCTATGGTGGGTTTTGCATACTCACGGGGCAGCCTGGCAGCCTTTGGCAGTCCAGTCTCCTCCCTACTTCCAGAAAAATCTATTTTTTACTATTGGGTCTTTTCAGAGTCTGAGTGGGTTGAAGGGTATATCGGTGAGGGATGCATTTTTCTCAGCATTTTTTTGAAACTACCAGTTACTCTTGCATAGTATTCCATCTCAAAAAGGAAGTAGCTACAAGTGGTAAGTCAAAGTTATTTATGAGGCTTATCAAGCTAATATCAGACTAATAAACATTTATTGACCAAAATATACAACCTCTACATAAGTCCTAGCCTATTAATGCTTTTAAAATTCAGAATTAGGTCGGGCGCAGTGGCTCACTCCTGTAATCTCAACACTTTGGGAAGCCGAGGCAAGCAGATCACTTGAGGCCAGGAGTTCGAGACCAGCCTGGCCAACATGGCAAAACCCTGTCTCTACTAAAAATATGAAAATTAGCCAGATGTGGTTGACTCACGCCTGTAATCCAGCTTCTTGGAAGGCTGAGGCATGAGAATCGGTTGAACCTGGGAGGCGGAGGTTGCAGTGAGCTGAGATTATGCCACTGTCTCAAAAAAATAAAATACAGAATCAAAACAGTAGACAGATGGTTTATTCATTTACTCCACAAAATGTAATGAGTGCTTACTATGTATCAGACATTGGTCTATGCACTGGAGTTAAGAAAGTAAATAAGATCTCTCTGCTCAATGGAATGTACATATTGGTGGAGGTGCAAGAACAGCACTCCTGAACTATATGCACGCTCTTTTTCTTTTCTTTTCTTTTCTTTTTTTTTGGGATGGAGTCTCGCTCTTGTCGCCCAGGCTGGAGTGCAATGGTGCAATCTAGGCTCACTTCAACCTCCGCCTCCCGGGTTCAAGTGATTCTCCTGCCTCAGCCTCCCAAATAGCTGGGATTACAGGCACCGCCACCATGCCCAGCTGATTTTGTGTGTGTGTATTTTTAGTAGAGACAGAGTTTCACCATGTTGGCTGCGCTGGTCTCAAACTCCTGACCTCAGGTGATCCGCCCACCTCAGCCTCCCAAACTGCTGGGATTACAGGCGTGAGCCACCGTGCCTGGCCACACACCCTTTTTATTATAACAACAGTAAAATGAAATCCTTCTTTTATATTTAATAAGCTGAAAGTGAGTTACTGCCAAAAGCAACAGCTGAGCACTAACTACACACAACTTAAAAGCATTAGACTGCCGGGTGTGGTGGCTCACACCTGTAATCCCAGCACTTTGGGAGATTAAGGCAGGCAGATCACGAAGTCAAGAGATCGAGACCATCCTGGCCAACATGGTGAAACCCTGTCTCTGCTAAAAATACAAAAATTAGCTGGGCATAGTGGCGGGGGCCTGCAGTCCCACCTACTCGGGAGGCTGAAGCAGGAGAATCACTTGAACCTGGGAGGCGGAGGCTGCAGTGAGCTGAGATCGTGCCGCTGCACTCCAGCCTGGGCGACAGAGTGAGCCTCCATATCAAAAAGCATCAGACTTGTTAGAAGTATCACTTACAAGTGATAGATGACAGGTGAGATAGAGAAGAAACCTTATGATCACAAAGTTATTCTACCTACATGTTTATACTTCAAGGATCTAAGCAAGTTTCCACAATACACATTTATTTAAATTAGCAGTTCTATCATGCAAAAAATCCAGCAGCATAATAGGAAGATGTAAAATGTGAAGGGATGCTCTTCAATTTTAGAGACTGAAGCTTCTCAGATCTTCCCACTGCTTTGTTACTCAAAGTATGGCCCGCAAATCAGGGGAATCCAAATTTCCTGGGAACTTGTTAGAAATACAGAATCGCAGAATCCACTCCAGACTTATGAATCAGAATCTGCATTTTAACAAATCCCACAAGATTTTTATTATATTTGTACGTTAAAGTGTAGGAAGGCCAGGCATGGTGGCTCACACCTGTAATCCCAGCACTTTGGGAGGTTGAGGCGGGTGGATCACCTGAGCTCAGGAGTTCAAGACCAGCCTGGCCAACATATAGTGAAATCCCATCTCTACTAAAAATACAAAAATTAACTGGGTGTAGTGACGCATGCCTGTAGCTCCAGCTACTTGGGAAGCTGAGGCAGGAGAATTGCTTAAACCCAGGAGGGGGAGGTTGCAGTGAGCCGAGATCGTGACACTTCACTCCAGCCTGGGTGACAGAGCAAGACTCTTTCTTTTTTTTTTTTTTCTTTTTGAGACGGAGTCTCACACTGTCACCCAGGCTGGAGTGCAGTGGCGTGATCTCGGCTCACTGCAAACTCCGCCTCCCGGGTTCATGCCATTCTCCTGCCTCAGCCTCCTGAGTAGCTGGGACTATAGGCGTCCGCCACCACGCCCAGCTAATTTTTTGTATTTTTAGTAGAGATGGGGTTTCACCGTGTTAGCCAGGATGGTCTCCATCTCCTGACCTCGTAATCCGCCCGTCTCGGCCTCCCAAAGTGCTGGGATTACAGGCGTGAGCCACCGTGCCTAGCCGAGACTCCCTTAAAAAAAAAAAAAAAGTGTAGAAAAATTGTTTCATACTATGTGGATTAAAATTAATTTGGGAATGGGCTCCTACAGGCCAAATCTGGGACAATTTCAGCACCAAAATAATTAAATATAGTAATGAACTATAAATCATTGAAAAAATAGGAATTTGTGAGTATACGCTGTTAATAAGTAAGTAAATAAAAAGGGAAGAAGGGAGTCCTCTTATATTGAAGTGCCCATTCCTGACTGGCAAAGTTGGAAAATCATTGTTCTGTAACAGTAACAACTAGCTCAGGCAAAAATCATCAATGGATGCAAAATCGAGGGGGAAATTTGAATTAGGAGCAGGATTTGAATGATTTTTTAAAATGTCTCCCCACAGACTGGTTATTAGTTATAAGGGGGAGAAAACATAAATATATGTGTTGTGGTGAAATCAGTTGGCGTCTAGATAGGCTGTCAAAACAAACATCACCAGTAAGAGACACATGGCTGTGGTCTAACTCCAGATATGACACTCTGAGGCTTACACGTCAACTTTTGTTGCACACATGGAAAACATCCTACAGCATCAATAAGTAATGGTAAGGGGGTGCAACAGTATGAAACATCATACAACCTAAGGATTCTAGCAAGTTTTCTTATGACAGGGATCTAATAAAAAAATACATTCAGTCTACAGAAATAATGGAAGCACATGAGAGACAAACATTATTCTCCAAAATGGAACAATTCTATTAAACAACTTATGACAAAACGGAAAGAATATATATAAGAAATAAAAGTTGACTGAAGATAGTAAGTGAGATTGCTGGATCAGAGATAGACATGATGGGGGAAAAAAAGAAATTACACAAGGCCTAAAAGGGTTCAGCACAGTGCCTGATGCATAATAAATATTTTAAAATTATTGGTCATTATGTTAGAAAAAAGAAAAAAACTAAAGTGGACACTTCTTTGTATGATGGTTCCCAAATCTGGGTCTGTATCACAATACACTTAAAAGTGCAAAATACACAAACAGCAGATTCCTGTAGGCCTACTCACAATCTCCAGGGGGTTATCATGTACCCCCTGATAAGGACACTTCATCTCTGTGGTATTCTTCTCAAAAATCCAACAACCCCAGCCTAGATGAAGCCAAAATGAGTGACATTAACAAAATACCTTAGTCTCAAAACTGTCAAGGTCTTACAAACAAGGCAAGATAGTTATCGCAGGCCAGAAGAGACATCATGATTAAATGCAGTGTGGGATCCTGGATCGGATCCTGAACACAAATAGGACATTATGAGAAAAACTGGTGAAATCTGAATACCAGTTGGAGTTTAGGGTAATGTGATATTCACAGCATTTGGAGCTACGTACCTAACATTCATAACGTAGTAACACACCAGTGTTGGTTTCTAAGCTGTATCAAATGTACCATGGTAGTATATTACCCTTAGGAGAAACTGGGTGAAGGGTATATAGAAATGACTGTCTTTGCAAATCTATAATTCTAAAATTCTATTCTGTAATTCTGAAATTATTCTTAAATAAAAACTTTTCAACCTGATGAGAGGAAGTAGAAAAAAAATCTTTATTAAAAAGAAAATCCAGGAATAGACTCTAGGTACCCATATTACAAGTTTTTCAAGTGATTTGATACATACAAATTCACTGCAGTCTTGGTCAACGGTGTTATTAAATTATAGAATTTGTGGGATAATGAGGCTCCCTGTGTTGGCTGAGACCTATGAAAGGCTTGGGCATCTTCCATATTAGATCTAAGTTAATCAATCCCTGAAACCAAAATGAAAACTGCAAATTATGGCTACCAAGAGCTTCTTAGCTGTTAGAGAAGCATGGATACTGACAAAAGCAAAAATAATTTTCAATATATTATTAAAGTATCAGCATCTATTGCAATGATTTAACACTATTGAAAAGCATTTTCATTTAGATGATGCCTCTCACATGATGTACTTTCAGGGACTGTCATTTAATCCACTTTATAGTCACTTAAGCATTCAAGTATGTTTGCCTGAAAACAAAGGCAACTTCTTGAAACATTTCAAATGCGTTTTATATTACTATTATATGTAAATGTGAAACTTGTTCTATTTGTGAGAATCATTATGTATGTAAAAATTCAAGGATAATTATCAATTTTTAAAATTCCACATTCTTCTTAAACTTACTCTTCTGCACATTCTTTCAAAATTTTCCTTAGAGAAATGAATATCACCTGGTTCTGGTCTGCATTGAATTAAGCTATTTAGATTTTATGGATCAGGTAAGACCCAGTTAAGAATCTGGTAGTTCTGAACCAGCTTGAAAAGGAAGTTATAACACAAAAAGATCAACTAACTAAACACTGACCACAGAGTTTTTGGGAAACCGTCAAAGAAACTGAGAAATTTAATGTAATATATGAATTGCTTAAAGCCCTTACCCCCTGAACTTGGAACTCAGTACATCTAAATTAGGACCCAAGAACTGCATTTTCAAAAGGCCCTGCTGGTGACTCAGATGCAGATCTTCCAAGGGTTACATCTGGAGCATTGGCATGGGGCCAAGAATACAGGCTTGAAATCAGAAAGACCTGAATGCAAATTTTGACTCTGCAAATTTTTACCTATGCAGCACACAACAAACTACTCCTTTAATCACTGAAAAACTACTAATACCTACTACAGGCTATGCACTTTACTTTTCTAAGCCTCTATTTCCTTATCTATGAAATTGAAGGTTTGTAAGAAGTAAATGAAATAATATATGTAAAACACTCAGCTCAGTACATGGACTACAATAAGCAGTCAGTGTTAGCTGTGATTACCATTAGCATCCCTTATAAGTTTCAATGGCCATCAGAAACTGGCCATCAAAATAGATTACATGAAATAAAACAGCTTTCACTAGAGAAATGACAAAAAGTTAAACTCTGCCCTCAGATGCAAAAGCTTCATTCTGGCAGGAAATTCTTATGTCCCTTGCTATTCAGTGACAAAGAATATGGCTCTATGGTAGTCTGGACAGTATGAATCACAAAATGACTCACAATATTTCATAAAGTCATCATTAAACTGATTTTAAGGTGAAGGAGTGCAGCTATAGATAGCAAAAAAGTGTAAAAAGAAAATCTGCACTATACTAGATTTCTCTTTTTATAAAGTCAAAACTAAATAATGACCAGGCATGGTGGCTTATGCCTGTAATCCCAGAACTTTGGAAGGCCAAAACGGGAGGATCACTTGAACTCAGGAATTCAAGACCAGCCTGGACAATACGGCAAAACCCCATCTCTACTAAAAATACAAAAAATTAGCAGGGTGCGGTGGCGCATGCTGTAGTCCCAGCTACCCAGGAGGCTGAGGTGGGAGGAGGATCACCTGAGCCTGGGAGGTCAAGGCTGCAGTGAGCCAAGATGATGCCACTGCACTCGAGCCTGCGTGACAGAGTAAGATCCTGTCTCAAAAAAAAAAAAAAAAACCACTGTAAATTATGAGATGAGCAGGTACTGTCAAACCAAAGAGAAAACTAACATTGCATTAAACATTATTAACTGGAAGGAGTGCAGGTATCACTAGCAATGACTCAGGGCTACGTTGCCAAATGAACACAAGTGTTTGAAAATGAATTACATAATAAACAAGCACAAAAAAACTCCACTGAAACTAAAATTAGCAAACGAAAATTCCCAAAATGATTCATAAACAATTGTATGTTAGGTTATATATCCTAATGTGTTAGAACATCACCAATGTGCAAATAGATAATAATAAACGTCCGTTGTTCTGTTTGTTCACACCAGAAATAATCCCTGAATTCATAAAATGTCTGTGGGCTAAATACTGGGCAAAGGCCAGGTACGGTGGCTCACACCTATAATTCCAACACTTTGGGAGGCCAAGGCAGGAGGATCACTTGAGGCCACGAGTTTGAGACCAGCCTGGGCCACAAAGTGAGACCCCATCTCTACAAAAACATCAAAAAAATGAGTGGGGCATAGTAGTGCACACCTGTGGTCCCAACTATTTGCGAGGCTAAGGCAGGAAGATCGCTTGAGCCCAGGAGTTTGAGGTTACAGTGAGCTACGATTGTACCACTGCACTCCAGCCTAGACAACAGAGTGAGAGCCTGTCTCAAAATAATAATAATAATTATTATTATTACTGGACAGAGAAGGTGGGGCAGCACACAACATTTGGACTTAGGTTTGAGTTCAGATACCACCAGTTACCAGGAGTGTGACATAGGCCAAGAGTCCTAACAGATCTGTTCTTCAGTAACTTCATCTTATATTGTGAATTATAATAATACTACCAAACCAGCAGACTATAACAAGTCAAATGATTTACTAATGGAACACCACACATGTATATCAAATGCATGCAATATTCAGGGATTAGTATTTTGAGATGGAAAGCAGTCATTTTAATCAGTTATTAAATCACCTTTGGGCAAAGAAAGATAGAAAAAGTAGTTTAAAAATCAAATGAGAAAAAGAAAAGAAAGGAGAATGCTTGTAAAGTTTTTTCTTACTGCTTAACCAAAGGTAGATCAGTGTATGTAAGTAGACCACAGAAAAAATCTTAAATTTTAAAATATCCTAGATTTCAAATAATTCACTGATGTATGTTTCAATGTCACTAAATATTTTACTTTTATACATACTTACTTGTAAAAATAAGTAACGGGGCAGTACACTGTCAAATGAAGGGCTGAGATATACTGGTTCTGTCATTCTTATGCCCATGCCTCTGAAAAATAGGAAATCTAACATTAGTCTGTATAAATTCCATGGTCTATACAAACTATGTTTCCAGAAACGTTCTCCAATAGCCTGTCAAACATAAGATGCTCTATCTTTTTAAGAACTATTTTGGCTCAAGCCTGTAATCCCAGCACTTTGGGAGGCAGAGGTGGGAGGATCACTTGAGGTCAGGAGTTCAAGACCAGCCCGACCAACATGGAGAAACCCTGTCTCTACTAAAAATACAAAAAATTAGCCAAGCGTGGTGACAGGCTGTAGTGGTGACAGGTGACAGGTGAGGAGCTGTAATCCCAGCTCCTCAGGAGGCTGAGACAGGAGAATCACTTGAACCTGGGAGGCAGAGGTTGCAGTGAGCCAAGATCGCGCCATTGCACTCCAGCCTGGGCGTCAAGAGTGAAACTCCGTCTCAAAAAAAAAGAACTCTTTTTATTAAACAACAAAATACATAAAGTAGTCCTGTGAATTGTTTTTGAATTTTTACCTGCAGAATACGAAGCCATCAGAACTAAAAAGGAAAAAGTTACATAAATTTTTCATTTAAGCACAAATGTGTTTCTGTAGAGATTTGAACAGACTAAAAAGCAAATACCACCTCATTCTTTACTACTTCCTGTCAGCTCTTTATAGAATAATTGCCTGGTACTGACACAATCCCAAGGATAACCTTTTCCACCTTTGTCCCATTTTAGGAGTGGCATTGAAAATGATCAGAGCAGGAAGGGCCAGGACTCAGATGGCCTGGTGGAGAATGACTCATCAAGACAAACATCACAATCTCAGAGATGTTGTCAGAGGCTACTGAAGCAGAGAAAGAACACGCAAATCCTGTCAGACAAAGCCAAGCCTGGCCTTGTGTGTCAGGCCAAAGCAGACAAAGCAAGCGAAAGGAGAAACATGGAGAAATTCAAAGAGTTCTGGGGATTAGGACGGCACAGAAAAAAGTATAGTCTCATTAAAAGGGAAGTATAAAAATCAGGATTTAAGCCGGCACAGTGGCTTATGCCTGTAATCCCAGCACTTTGAGAGACTGGCACAGGAGGATCACTTGAGGTCAGAAGTTTGACAGCAGCCTGGGCAACATCTCTACATAAAATTTAAAAAATTACAAAGGCATGGTGGAGTGTACCTGTAGTCAGTCCTGGCTACTCGGGAGACTGAAATGGAGGGATCCCTTGAACCCAGGAGTTGGAGGATGCAGTGAGTTAGCATCCCGCCACTGCACTCCAGCCTGGGCAACGAGCACCCAAATAAATAAAATTTTTAAAAAAATTTTTTTTAAAAATCATAACTTATACCTAGTTTAAGGGTACAATCCAAGGAGAGTCCCATTAGGACTCCATTAGGATGAGCAAAGATAAAGTCTTAGAAGCAGTATGGCAGACAAGTTCATAGCTAGCTTATGGAACAGTTTATGAGTTGATCTTGGCAGACATGCATCTACATGCATGTGTAGATAGATGGTGTGTACTCTATCTAATGTTGGCAGGATAAGTTTATGTTGGTCTTTAGAGTAAAATAACGTCAGTAGATACCCGTGGACTATTACTGAAATGGTATGACTATAAACTCCCCTCGGTTTTGTTGTTGGTTTTATTTATTTATTTTCAGACACAGGGTCTCACTCTGTCACGCAGGCTGGAGCGCAGTGGCACAATCATAGCTCACTGCAGCCTCTAACTACTGGGTTCAAGTGATCCTCCCAACTTAGCCTCCCCAGTAGCTGCGACTACAGGCACACACCACCATGCCAGGTAAGTGTGTGTGTGGACAGAGTCTCACTATGGTGTGTGTGTGTGTGTGTGTGTGTGTCTGTGTGTGTACAGTCTCACTATGTTGCCCAGACTGGCATCAAACACCTAGACTCAAGTGATCCTCCTGCCTTAGCTTCCGGAGTTCCTGGAATAACGGGTATGAGCCACCATGCCTGGCGCCCTCAGTTCTAACAGCATTTAGCATACAATAAATGCTGACTCCTTTTCTTCCTCTTCTCATCCCTTTACTACCTTACTCATTTGTTTACCACTTGAAATCCATGAATGTACACTTTTAATCAGAGGTAAAACTCAGTTGCTGCTCCAGTCAGGACCAAATCAAACCACTGTATCCACTTCCAAGGCAAATATCCCCTGCTCCTGAGCAGAAAATATACAAACGAAGCTTCTGAAATGTCACTGACTCACATTTGAAAGCCAGTCCTGGCTGGGTGTGGCGTCTCATCCCTATAATCTTAGCACTTTGGGAGGCCAAGGTGGAGAACTGCTTGAGACCAGAATTCAAGACCAGACTGGGCAACATGGCAAGACCCCCATTTCTATGAAAAAAAAATTAAAATATCAGCTGATCATGGTGTCATGTGCCTATAGTACTAGCTACTCAGAGGCTGAAGTAGGAGGATCACTTGAGCTCAGGAATTCAAGGTTATAGTGAGCTTTCATCACACCACTCCAGCCTTAATGACAGAGCGAGACCCTATTTCTAAAAGAAAAAAGCAAAGTCAGTCCTTTGTTGTGACACCTGGTACTCTTACCTTGATCAATACCCAGAATCTACAACTATTATTGAAAATCTTGAATTCCATAGTCTGATCACTCCATAATTTAAATGACTTTCTGACTTGCAGGACTCCAGTCCTCTAAAAAATACTGAAACTTGAAAATGTTCATGCCTGTCTTCCTAACTCAGTTCCTAACTACTACTTTAGATTCTGGTGCTCTTCGACTATCTCCTTCTGACCACGCCTACCAGAACAAGTGAGTGCTATAAATCACTGAACTTAACATAACGAAGAATAATTTAAGCCAATTATTATTCAGGTATGAGATTACATGTTTCTTTAAAAAATACTTTTGTAGCCACATATCTCCATATAATAATGCAAAGTACAAGATTGCGTATGTTAACACAGTCTGTTAGTAAATTAATCTGCCTCCGTGAATCTATGAATGATTCAACCCACCTGGAATTCAAGAAAGCAAAGGACTCAAATTCACTAACTGAATAGCAATTGTACCATTAGTTGTGTTGGTTTAAAATTTTTTAAGGAATATAAATAAGAAACAGGGTGTACATGTAGCATTTCTGTTATAGCAGCCTGCTTCTTCCACCGGAAGAGACAAAACTTCCAACAGTATAACTGAATAAATTGAGTTTAAAAACCAATTTTTTTTTCTTTTTTTGAAATTCTGAAGTCTCACTGTGTCACCCAGGCTGGAGTGCAGTGGTGCAATCTTGGGCTCACTGCAACCCCCCGGGTTCAAGCGATTCTCCTGCCTCAGCATCCTGAGTAGCTGCGATTACAAGCACCTACCACCACACCTAGCTTATTTCTGTATTTTTAGTATAGATGGGCTTTCACCGTGTTGGCCAGGCTGGTCTCGAACTCCTGACCTCAAGTGATCCGCCCACCTTGGCCTCTCAAAGTGCTGGAATTACAGGAGTGAGCCACCACGCCCGGCCAAAGGGTGGCTGAAAGTTGGTTGCCTCCTAACTTCCACCAACAAAAAATTATTCAGAACATTGTTCAGAAAACATTATTCAGCACGATAACTGGAACAACATCAAATAACCTAAAAGAATGAAAAGTATACCATTAACAATGAACTAATGGAGGCAGTCAAAATATCAATTACCAATTACAGGTCCAAAGATAAACACAGCAGATATATGCACATAATCTTTATATTCATGAAGCCTTCTAAAAAGAATAAAATCTTTGTTCTTGGCCATTTGGAAAGTGCTGCTACCTAGATCTAGGGAATCCAACAGTCAACTTCTTCAGAAGAACGAATGAATTTCAATTACAAACCCAAACTGTTGCAACATGAAAAACTGTTCCACCAATTAGGGATATCGTCCAATTCTAAAGGGAGAAATTCACAGCTTTCAGCATGTCTATGTCAGCCATGAACTTTGGAGTAATGGAGCTGTCCACAGAACTCAAAAAGCCTGAAAAAACTAAGTAAAATAAGAGCCTGGATTTTTCCACCAATTTATTTAGGGCCACTAGCAACCAGGAATGATTTAGAACAGACTATATTTTAATTTAGTTTGAACAAACCTAAACATTCATTTTTAAACACAAATATTCATGTGAGTGCTAGGTTTCTGGTAAAATTTATTTTTAATTAAAAAATATGTTTAATTTATATTAAAATCAAACTTTTTCTGACAAATAAGAACGTTAAAAATGATCTGGATAGATCATCTAATTCTTTCTCCATCATAATGCACTGTTTTTCAAAGATGCAAAATATTTTGAAAAAAATAAAATTCAGAAGGACAAGTAAAATTATTTGACAATTAAAATGTAACTGGTTGCTTAATGAGGCTCTTTAATTTGATCAGTTACCCTTTTTGACCAAACATCATGGAAATATGGGTTTAAACAATTTTTTTCCAGTTGGATTTATACCAAAAAAAAAAATTTCATATAATGCAACTAGATACATTTTACATTATTTTTAATTTTCATTGACCCACAAAAAGGATGCTGATTTCCCCAAAGCACCTGATGACATACTTCAGTTCAGGTAATCCACTGAAGATTTCTTTGCGGCTTAGTTCAGAAATCCCATTTCCAAGAAATACTTTTGTTCCATCAAATTCTTTGGCTCCTTTCTTACATTTTCCTTTAATATCAGAGTATACAGAAATAACATCTCCAGCTTTCATAACTAGAGAAAGAAGAAAATCAGATTACACTGATTTATACTTTGGCAGAAGAATCGTGAAAATTATTTGAGCTAGATCGGTGATCTCTAGAGGCATCAATAGTGGGCATGAAGCAGTTCAAACTTGCTCATTACCTCAATCTTTAATAGAAAATCTGACTTTTTACTTTAAAATATTCCATAACAATAAAACTCACTAAAGAATCTTTTTCAGTGAAAACAAAGAAATAAAATAGCTTCAAAACATCCTACCCTCAACTGGAAATCTCAAGCTGAGCCAAATTATTTCCCCCAAGCCTTAAAAGATTTCTTATAAATCTTGACATCTCAGCTCAAACCTCAAAGTTCTAAGTTTCCTTCAAAAGGACTGTTCAAAAATGTACCCTAAAATCCTTCAAAGAAATATTTCTAAATCCCATAACCCTGTTTGTATTTGCTATTTTGATATGACAGCACGATTAAGGCAGACTTTAATGATAAGCATATATAGTCATTCATATATATATATATATATATATACACACACATATAGGCACACATATATACGTGTGTGTATACACTTAGAATACCTTTTACAGTATACAGTGTACAGAGTTGCTTTATATGGCTGATTAAATCCAGTTTGTGTAGGCATTTATTTTCTGTAACAACTCTCAGTGTTATTTATAATTGGAAATTATATTCCACTTCCAAAAAACATTTTTAAACCTAATCTATCATAAATTTATTTGGTCTATTACCTGACAACAATAGCGAACAGCCTATTAGCTAGAGCTAAGAGAACTGTTAAAATCATGTAGATCAGATGTCAACACACTTTTCCTGTAAAGGGCAAATAAATATTTTAGGCTTTGTAGCCACATAAGTTCTCTGTGGCATATTCTTCTTTATATGTGTATCTTTTCACAACATTTTAAAAAGGAAAAAACCATTCTTAGCTTATGGGCCACACATAAACAGACATGAGCCAGACTTGGCCAGGAGGTAGTAGTTGACCCAATTCTGATACAGATCAAATTATTCATTTCAAGGACACCATAACTGAGGCCCAGAGACGGAATACGTTTTCTACAGATGAAAGCAATTGTTTCTTGATTTCAAGTCCAATAAGGTACCACTGAACCACAGTGACTAACTTACTAAGCATATGCAACACAGGTATGTCGCCAACTGGGTGAATACATTAAGAGTATCAAGTTTCATCCCAATGTTCAGAGTCCAGGTTCTGGATGTTCTCTCACTAATGACACAACAGCTTTCTGAGGTTTTAAGGCAATGCAGTCAAGAAAACAAAACAGAAGTTCATTGACGTACTCTATCAGTAATGATCCACTAAAACAACCATCATCAAATACATCCTTATTTGGAAGGAAAAAAAAAAAACCATCAGAAAACCTTATATGATGACTAGTTTGTTAGTCCTTACTGGATAAAACCCTAAATGCAAAGCTGGAAAAATACCCGACCAAGAAAAATTTGGAATATATCTTAGTGACAAATCAATAAATTTTCCATTTGAAAATGCACATAAATTTTAGAGAACCTTAAAGACAAATCTAAACATTATACTTACATTGTGATGCTGACACAATTCCTGGGGCATAGACATGGGCTCCTCTTAAAACTGCATTGCCACACTGGGCTCCAACAATGGCTTCACACTGTTGTTTTTTAATATTCTTTCTAGAAATGTAAGACACAAGAAGTTTAATAGTAACATACCTCCAATGCCTACCAATTTTTCCCGTGTTCTATCTGAACTCTAATGCCTCTTTAGTCTTAACTGTCCTGAATACATAAGAAAACGCTGAAAAGAGAGGCATACATATAGAGGAAACAGGAAAAAACAGCAACACGAAGATGGGCACTTGAGAGGAAGAAAAAAATCAAGAGGTCCATCTGCTGGAAGGCAATAAAGTGGCACCAGAAATTGCTTAATCATTTAACAAGCATTACTGTTTATCATAGCATTAGGAGAAAAATAGACTTTCTCTGTCTTCAAAGACTAAAATAGAAAAATACACAAGGAATTACAAAAACATTTCTAAAGTGGTAAATTGTTGCATGGTAAATTATGAATAATTTAAACAAGACAGGAAAAGAAGATAAGTCTTTTTTCCTTCCTTTGCTGCCCAACCTTTTTGAGTCTTTTCCAGTTTCTCACATTCATTTCTTAGACCACTAAAATCTGTATTACTTCTAACACTCAGGGTTCCAAAGATCAGGGACCCAATGTGATCAGCCCTAAATAAAAACCCTTAACAATGAGTCTCTAATAAGCTTCCTTGGATGTGCTGTCACAACTCACTGCTGGGGGAATTAGGTGCATCCTGTCTTCAATTCCATGATCGCCAATTCATCAAATCTTACTAATTTTTCAGCTTTATACCCACTCTTTCCTGGTCCCAAACATTCTCATTGCTCATTCTCTGCCTACTTCTTAGAGGCTCTCCCCGCCAGGTTCCAAAACATGCGACCATCTCTACTCACCTTGCATTCTATCCCTTGGCAATCTCATGATTTCAATAATCACTCACAAAAACAATCCACAAATTCTAATGTTTAGCCTTTCTAGTTTTTTTTTTTTTTTTTTTTGAGACCAAGTCTTTCTCTGTCACCCAAGCTGGAGTGCAGTGACGCAATCTTGGCTCACTGCAACCTCTGCCATCTGGGTTAAAGTGATTCTCATGCCTCAGCCTCCTGAGTAACTGGGATTACAGGTGCTCGCCACCACACCTGGCTAACTTGTGTATTTTTAGTAGTGACAGGGTTTCACCATGTTGGCCAGGTGGGTCTCGAACTCCTGACCTCAGGTGATCCACCAGCCTCAGCCTCCCAAAGTACTGGGATTATAGGCATGAGCCACCACGCCCAGCTTAGACTCTTAATTAGTATTTCTAATTACCTACGGACAGCTATATAGAGACGTCTCACAGTTACTTCAAACTCAACAAGTCCTAAACAATAATCAGTTTTCCCTCATCCATTCCTCCACTCCTTGGCAGGATCCCAAATCTTTTCATCCTGTTTCCAATCTTGAATGAGACGTCATTATCTGCCCAGATAACCAAACTAGATGCCTCAGTGTTACGGTCTGGATGTGTCCCCCAATATTCATGTGCTGGCAACTTAATCCCTAGTGCAACAGTGTTGGAATATGAGGCCTATTGGGAGCTGTTCAGGTCATGAGTGCTCTGCCCTCATGAATGAATTAATGCTATAATAAAAAGGGCTTGCAGCAGTGAGTTTGCTTTCTCTTGCCCTTGTGCCCTCTACCATGTACAGATGCAGCAAGAAAGCCCTCACCAGATGCAAATGCCTCGATCTTGGACTTCGTATCCTCCAACACTACAAAAAACAAATTTATGTTCTTTATAAATTATCCAGTCTCAGGTATTCTGCTATAGCAGCAAAAAATAAACTAAGACACTCAGCGTCATCTTAAAGTCCTCCTAAGCCTTCACATTGATTGATTTAGGAATCAAGCTATCTTCTAGTTCTGATAGGTTTTGTGGGCGTATCTCCTGATGTTGGACACATATCTCTTTGTGATTACTGAAATAGCTTCCTGCCTTTTACCACTGGTTTCAGATTTTCTCTGTCTTTGGTGTTCTGCAACTTCACTCTGAAGTATGTAGACATGAATCTACTTTTACTTTTGGCTTCAAGCTCACACTTCTTAAATTTTTCATCAGTGATAGAAATTCATGGTCATTACACTTGTGATTATTGTCTTTCCCCCATTATTCCTATTCTCTATACCTGAGACTCATTAAAAATATAAATGCTGGTCAGGTGCAGTGGCTCACACCTGTAATCCCAGTACTTTTGGAGGCTGAGGTGGGTGGATCACATGAGGTTGGGAGTTCAAGACCAGCCTGACCAACATGAAGAAATCCCCGTCTCTACTAAAAATACAAAATTACCCAGGCATGGTGGCGCATGCCTGTAATCCCAGATACTTGGAAGGCTGAGGCAGGAGAATCACTTGAACCCAGGAGGTGGAGGTTGCAGTGAGCCGAGATGGTGCCATTGCACTCCAGCGTGGGCAATAAGAGCAAAACTCCATCTCAAAAAAAAAAAAAAAAAAAGAAACGTAAAGTGCTTTTTCATGACTCAATTTCACTTTCATATTTTTAATTTCTCTCTGCTGCATTCTAGATAATTTCCTAAGAGTCATCTCCTAATTCAAAAACTTTCTCATCAGTTGGGTCTAATCTGCTGTTTAATTCATTGTATGAGTTTTTAATTTTAATGATAATTTATTTTTAGAAATTTGTTTTCAATTCTACCTTTTTATCCTTAGGGTCTTTTATGTTTTACTCTTTCATTTTTAATCATTTTAAGAAAACTGTTTTGTCTACAGCCATATCACTCTGAACATGCCCGATCTCAGCTGATCTTGGAAGAAAACTGTTTTTATAGTCTATGCCAGAGAGGTCTATTTGTTAAAAGTTCTGAGGGAAATCCAATCCTGCAGCTTATTATATATGCTGATTCTTACTCATAGTGGTTTGATTCCCAGTGTAGCTTTTAACAATGCCAAGTGTTTGGCTTGGACTGAATGAGTGCTGCTCCAGAGTGGTGTCACTTAGTTTTTGCCAAGTACCCAGGAATTGGCTTGGGACCAAACAGTTAATTTCCCAGTTTGCAGGTTCCAATTTAGGTTGCAGCAATTTGCATTCCAGACCTTTATGACGGAGGGAACTTACGGCTGCGCATTCTCAGAAACACATTTTTCTCCAACCTATATCCTAAGGCAAGAAAGACCTACTTTTAATTACTGCCTTGTAATGACTACTGGGTATTTCTCACCCTTACTATTAACACTTAATTGTTTAAACCAAAGACCCTAAATTTAGAAGAAAGACCACCTCCTTTCCCATACCTTCAACCCCCCAATAATAACTCACATGCTTGCTGTTCTCTTTTCAATTATTCTGCATTCCTAACCTCTAATATATCAACTACATTTTTAATCACTCAACTACATCATTTTGTGGCCTACTATGTTCTTTTTTACTTAGCACTCCTCGGTGTATGTAGCAAAAACATCTTCATGTTATCTAATTCACCATACATATTATTGAAGCTAAAAAACTCGGAAATACTTTTCTAACTTTTCTCCAGGTTTGCAATTCAACTTTTGAAAAAATTTCTGAAACTTTTGACTGTCAGTTGATGTAAGAAACACACTTGATAAAAGAACTTATTTCAAGTTTTTATATCATTTGAGATCTTGATATAAGAAACTACACATACATGTCTGTGTGTGTGGTATCACACATAACATTTCATTAAATATTTTTACTATGTGCGATGCAATATATTATAAAACATCCCTTTTTTTTTAAATATTCATTGAAAACATTAAATTGATTTCACAAGTTACTAATGGGTCATGATCTCCAAGCAGTTTGGAAGACCACTACCACTATTATATTTCTAAAATACACATCTAATTTTTACTAATAAAAAAAATTTTTTTTTTTTTTGAGACGGAGTCTAGCTCTGTCTCCCAGGCTGGAGTGCAGTTGCGCCATCTTGGCTCGCTGCAAGCTCCACCTCCCGGGTTCACGCCATTCTCCTGCCTCAGCCTCCTGAGTAGCTGAGACTACAGGCACCCGCCACCATACCCGGCTAATTTTTTGTGTTTTTAGTAGAGATGGGGTTACACCGTGTTAGCCAGGATAGTCTCGATCTCCTGACTTCGTGATCCGCCCGCCTCGGCCTCCCAAAGTGCTGGGATTACAGGCATGAGCCACTGCGCCCGACAATAAAAATTCTTTAGCTTCTTAAGTCTATGAAAAAAAAATTCCTTGGTACAAAAAAATCTTCATACTTCATATCTGCCTCTCCCAACTTCTTCAGTTTCATCTTTCACCCATCCCCCAACTCTGAAAACAAATAGCCAAACCTGATCACTTTTATCAGCAGCCACCAATGTTTCATGCATTCATGTCTTTCCTCATGCCTTCTCTCTGCCTAGCATAACCTTGCCCACCTTAACAGCCCTTCGGCCTAATTTCTCCTCACCTTCAAGACTCAAATGAAATAATATCTGCTTAGAGAAAATATTTAACAATTTCTTTGTACTCAGTCCTTCCTATTCTATGCTCCAATAGCATTTAATTTATACTTCTACTGTGACTATCATAACAGTCTGACTTGTACCAAAGTCTCCTGACTTTAGACTATAGAACTATGTCTCATTCATCTTTGTAACACCATCACATCTCACATATAGCACAAATTCAAAAACATGTTTTGTGGAAGTGAAATCTGTAGTGTTAGATTTTATGAAAATAACATGGAGGGGAAAGGATGAATTCTGGAACAGAGAACTGTGCAGAAAAAAGTTAACATAGTAGGCCTGATCTGTTATCTTTGAAAAGCCTGCTTACAAGGCTGGCCCTTGACTGACATCTGGGAACTGAGATTTCAGGAGGTTTACTTATTAACTGCTAAGAGTGGCTCACTGTGCCTGAATTATTGAACAAACTATGATTTATAGTAAATACCAGCTTTCCTTCTGAGAATCCAGAATGTGGGTATGTACCAGGCAGTGGGAATCTACATGATGAGCCCTGAATAGGAATCCTGGCAGTGAGTCTCATGTGGTCACAGCTCAGCACTGGGGGACTTCCTGTGGGAGTCCTGTGTGACTCCCCTGGAAGAGGACTCTGGAAGCTTGTGATGGTTTTCCCTTTGCTGATTGTGCTTCATATTCTTTCACTGTAACAAATCATAGCCGTAAGTACAAGTATGTGCTGAATTCCCTAATTCCTCTTAGAGAATCACAGAACCAAGGAATGGTCTTGGGGATCCATAGACACCAGGACTGACAATATAAAAACACAGTATGTCATATGCAAGTATCAATATTTAAGTCAGCATTGTTGAAAGGGAGTTTTTACTAGGAAAACTAAAAGAGCAAACGTAAAAGTTGGTGCAAGGCCATAAAATATGCTAAAAGCTTGATTTTTATTGAAATGTTTCCAAATAGAGTGCATCAACAACATTAAAGAAAGATTACGTTCCAACAGTTTAGTAATATAGGTTGGAGAAAAAAACTATAAATACACCTAGATTGAGAGAAAAGTATTAGAATAGCTAAAAAATGAAGTAGCTAAGGAATTAAAAACAGATTATGGGAATGTCCTGTTAAGGAATCTAAAATCATGTATTTTTATCTATTTGGTATTTTAACTGCACATATTCACAACCCTACACATACTAACAACCCTACACCAAATGGAAGGTGATGGATGAAACTGTGAAACAGCACATGATATTGCTGCATGCCAAATACTTCTTTGCAGCAGGACTGCCACCTTTATTTAATCAGTAGTCCTTGTGCAACAGCATTTCTTAAATATTCTATTGCAATAACCCTATTCACACATATATATATATATATACGAATGACACACACACACACACACACACAGACACACACACACAAAAATTGAAATCTTAAAGTGCTTGTTATGGATGGAATATTTG
Organism: Homo sapiens; assembly: GCF_000001405.40. Taxonomy (NCBI): domain Eukaryota; kingdom Metazoa; phylum Chordata; class Mammalia; order Primates; family Hominidae; genus Homo; species Homo sapiens. The sequence continues at coordinate 18,622,117 of NC_000010.11, forward strand.
TGTCCCCAAAATTCACATGCTGAAACCCGAACTCAATGTGATGGTATTTGGAGAAGTCTTCAGGGGTAATTAGTTATGAGGGTAGAATGCTCATAAATGGGATCAGTGCCTTTATACGAGACCAAAGAGCTACCCACTTGCTTTCTGCAATGTGAGAATACAATGAGAAGTCAGCTATCTGCATCGCAGAAGAGGGCACTCACCAGAACCCAAGCATACTGGCACACGTCGTGGATTTCCAGCCTCCAGAACCATGAGAAACAATCTAAGACAGTACTGACATGAGTGACAAGGCAACTACAAAAGATGGAAATCAGCTGCGCACAGTGGCTCATGCCTGTAATTCCAGCACTTTAGGAGTACGAGGTGGGCAGATTACCTGAGGTCAGGAGTTCGAGACCAGCCTGGCCAACATGGTGAAACCCTGTCTCTACTAAAAATACAAAAATTAGCTCAGCGTGGTGGCAGACGCCTGTAATTCCAGATAGGAGGCTGAGGCAGGATAATCGCTTGAACACGGAGGTGGAAGTTGCAGTGAGCAGAGATCGTGCCATTGCACTCTAGCCTGGGCAACAAGAGCAAGACTCCGCCTTGGGGGGAAAAAGATGGAAATCGAGTAGGCTGAAAGAGAAGACAAATCCAGTCTCATTTGGATTTCAAGAGATTTATGCTGTTGAATTACATATTCAATTGTGAAAGAAAGGAAGAAAGTTAATGTTCTAGCCTGCTTGAACTATTTTGAGACTTATCAAAAAGGGAGGAGCATTAATTGAGAGAATACAGAAATTCTTTAAAATTACCAATTGGTTTTTGGCCTAAAAAGTTCTACTGATCCAAATGTAGCCTTTAGAAAACGCTGGTTGAGAGATGTTTTAAAGGCTCTTGTATCAAGACAAGTCTGGCATTCCGTTTTCTCCTGAAGTCATTAAATTACCAGACAAAAATCATCTTCCAGAAATTAAAATATATTTCACCAGTACATGAAACCTCATTTTAAGTAAACTGAAGAAAGCAAAATTTTATTTTAAATTTCATTTGAAATTTTATTTTACATCTCATTTTAAGTAAAGTGAAGAAACCAGTAATTCAGTGATGCATTACTTTTAAAATTGTTTACTGTATATAAAGTTTAACTGATGCATTTATAATGAAAATAACTGTGATATTGAGCTTCTACTAAAAAATCAGAGGAAGAAAACTCCTTTTTCTAAATCCCATGGCAATGAAAGGGGGGGAAAAGAATAAAAATCTGAGGAGAAAATTCCATTTGCAATAAAACTAAGAAACAGCTATAATTGCGATGATGAGAAAAAATTGGCTGACAGTGAACTTTGAGCCAAACCTAGTTTCTCAGCACGGTGTGGAGTCTCTGAAAAGGAGAGGCTCCTGGAGGCTTAATCAAACATTTATTACTTAGGACCAGGACCACAGGCTTAGTGGAAAAGAAATCAGAATCTAGGAATGTCTTACCAGTATCCTGTTCAGAGGAGACAAGTGTGAAAGAAGAAATGGATTGTCAGAAATGGCATAACCAGACAATGTGTTATTTTCTCTAACAAACCTGATCAACTGCCAAAAAGCAGCCCAGGAAAGAGAAAAGAAATAGCAACCAACTTTGCTGCTCATGACTTAAGTTATCTAAGCAGAGATTAAATGAAAAAGAAAGCCTTCCCCACCCTCTGGAAAAAAGGTATGAGCTAAAGCCTTCACAGAGAGCCTCGGCTCTGCTCACCAGGACTAGAGAAAAGCCAGCAGAGAAGATTTGCAGTACTTCCCAGAAAACTTATCTGACTAGTCCCATAGGCATGCTCTTTCCCCCATTCTGGATCCTTCTTGAGCAAACTGCAAATGAGGATGTAACTGTTTCCATTCAATGCATGATAAGCAGAAATAATTCATTCTGCATTCATTGGTGGCACACACATACACAAAAAGCAGAAGGTAGATTTTAAAAATGTAAACCAAACAAAAGGAAAAATAATTCAAGTACCACTGTATTTTCAGAGAAATTAAAGGAAAAACCTCAAAAAAGGGATAAAAGAACAAAGATGAAAGTAAACTAGCAGCTAAGAAAATAAAGGACAATAAAACTTCTGAATAAGGATTTACAAGCAGAAAGAGGTAATACATCCCTATGACTAGATAGTATTTTCAATCCCCATTTTAGAGATAAGAAAAGCAAAGCACAGACAAGATAAAACTTATCTCCTATACTATTGACAAGAGAGCCACTTTGAAACAGAGCCAAAGTGACCAAGACAGGCCTAACAACAAATGGGCTGGGTGCGGTGGCTCATGCCTATAATCCCAGCACTTTGGGAGGCTGAGGAGGGTGGATCACTAGGTCAGGAGATTGAGACCATCCTGGCTAAAAAAATACAAAAAAAAAATTAGCCGGGCATGGTGGCAGGTACCTGTAGCCTACTAGGGAGGCTGAGGCAGGAGAATGGCGTAGACCCGGGATGTAGAGCTTGCAGTGAGAGCTCCTGGCACTGAACTTCAGCCTGGGAGACAGAGCGAGACTCTGTCTCAAAAAAAAAAAAAAAAAGAACGAATGCGGAAGAAAAAGATCAGTGAATGGAGTTGAAGAATATGTTAACAGAAAAAAAAAATTAAAGTAACAGGCTTGAGACTGCGGTTCTTAGAAAGGGTTGCTTGAGAGGATGGGTCTTGGCTAGCTAAGCAGCTAGAAACTGGAATGAGTTCCCAGCAGTGACATAAAACCTTCCCTAATGATAAATAAGAGTGGCTCACAATTCCTAAACTCTGTACAAGCAAGGTACAAACACATGTTTATTCGGAGCACCTGCTTTCCTTTCGGGAGTCTGGGAATTTCGGTACATGCTACGCAGAGGGTGCCTATGTGACCAGCCCAATAAAACCCTTGGGCACCAAGCCTCTGATGAGCTTTTCTTCTAGACAACTATTTTACATGTCACAATTAGGTGCTGGAGGAATTAAGCATGTCCTATGGGACCTCACTGAGACAGCCTGTGTTTGGTTTCTTCCAAACTTCACCCCATGCCTCTTTTCCCTTGCTGGTTTTGCTTCTGTATGCTTTCATGTAATAAACCATAGCCATTGGTGTGACCGTATGCTAGGTTCTGTGAGTCTTAGCCAATCACTAAACCTGAGGGCTGTCTTGGGAATCTCTGATGCAGGTAATATCTGTGCCAGAAACACAGCACACAAAGTCCTGCTGTCTTTATAAAAGAGAATACAGAAAATGTAAGAGAAAAATATTCAAAGAAATAATGGAAGACCTATATAACTGAAAAGCTACACTGTGTCTCATCAAAAGCTAAGAGGAAATAGGCTGAGTGTGGTGGCTCACACCTGAAATCCCAGCACTTTGGAAGGCCGAGGTTGGTGGATCACCCGATTCAAGAGTTTGAAGACCAGCCTGACCAACATGGTAAAACTCCGTCTCTACTAAAAATACAAAAGTCAGCCGGGTATGGTGGTGGGCACCTGTAATCCCAGCTACTCCGGAGGGTGAGGCAGGAGAATCACTTGAATCCGGGACGCAAAAGCTGCAGTGAGCCGAGATCGCGCCACTGCACTCCAGCCTGGGTGACAGAGTGAGACTATGTGTTTTTTTTTTAAAAAAAAAAAAAAAAAAAAAAAAAAAAGATAAAGAACTAAGAGGAAATAATCAAAATCAAGCATTACACTGGCTAAATGTCTAAAGTTGAATAACTAAGAATTCCACAGATCTCCAATCAAAAGACAACGTACTGTTAAAAGGAAAAGTTTTTGGTGGGCCTTAGATTTCTTCACAATAACATTTAATGCCACAGGTTATAAAAGCAATGTCTACAAAGTGCTAAGGGAAATACTATGTGGCCTGAAACGACCAGACTCAGCCAACTTGTTTTATAAACAAAAAGGCAACAGGCAGACATTCTCAATCAAGAAAGTAACGCAGTACGTAAGAGTCACACTTTGGGAAAGGGCAGGGGGTGCGGGAGATCTGCTAAGTGACTGTACTCACCAATAAAGACATTAATAAAGATAAGAAATGAGAAATAAACTGTGCCATAAGGACCGAAAGCAAACACTGCATCCATGTGAATTATACTTGGGAAATAACAATGTTACAAAGCTTGACAATGTTTAAAAAAAAAAAAACAGAAAAACTGGCCAGGCATGGTGGCTCCTGCTTGTAATCCCAACACTTTGGGAGGCCGAGGAGGGTGGATCACTTGAGCTCAGGAGCTCGAGACCAGCCTGGGCAACACGGCGAGACCCCATCTCAAAACAAAAATAAAAAAACAGTAAATACAAATTAGCTGGTAAAATTTTAGGGAAAATTTAACTCCAGTAATCTCCTCATTTCTCATAATGGAAAGTCAAAAGAGACTTAATGGGCCGGACACAGTGGCTCACGCCTGTAATCCCAGCACTTTAGGAGGCTGAGGCAGGCAGATTACCTGAGATCAGGAATTCGAGACCAACCTGGCCAACATGGTGAAACCCTGTCTCTACTAAAAATACAAAAATTAGCTCAGCGTGATGCCAGACGCCTGTAATTCCATATACTCAGGAGGCTGAGGCAGGATAATCACTTGAACACGGAGGTGGAGGTTGCAGTGAGCCGAGATCGTGCCATTGCACTCTAGCTTGGGCAACAAGGGCAAGACTCCGTCCTGGGTGGGGGAAAAAAAAAGATGGAAATCGAGTAGGCTGAAAGAGAAGACAAATCCAGTCTCATTTGGATTTCAAGAGATTTATGCTGTTGAATTACATATTCAATTGTGAAAGAAAGGAAGAAAATTAATGTTCTGGCCTGCTTGAACTATTTTAAGACTTTTATCAAAAAGGGAGGAGCACGAATTGAGAGAATACAGAAATTCCTTAAAATTACAAATTGATTTTTGGCCTAAAAAGTTCTACTGATCCAAATGTAGCCTTTACAAAATGCTGGTTGAGATGTTTTAAAGGCTCTTTTATCAAGACAAGTCTGGCATTCAGTTTTCTCCTGAAGTCATTAAATTACCAGACAAAAATCTTCTTCCAGAAATTAAAATATATTTCACCAGTACCTGAAATCTCGTCTTAAGTAAACTGAAGAAACCAAAATTTTATTTTAAATCTCATTTCAAGTAAACTGAAGAAACCAGTAATTCAGTGATGCATTACTGTTAAAATTGTTTACTGTATATAAAGTTTAACTGATTCATTTGTATTTTAAATAACTGTGATATCGAGCTTTTAGTAAAAAATCAGAGGAAGAAAACACCCTTTTCTAAATCCCATGGAAATGAAAAGGGGAGAAAAAAGAATAAAAATCTGAGGAGAAGAATAGGAACAGCTCCGGTCTACAGCTCCCAGCGTGAGCGACGCAGAAGACGGGTGATTTCTGCATTTCCATCTGAGGTACCGGGTTCATCTCACTAGGGAGTGCCAGACAGTGGGCGCAGGTCAGTGGGTGCGCGCACCGTGCCCGAGCCAAAGCAGGGCGAGGCATTGCCTCACTCGGGAAGCACAAGGGGTCAGGGAGTTCCCTTTCCTAGTCAAAGAAAGGGGTGACAGACGGCACCTGGAAAATTGGGTCACTCCCACCCCAATACCGCGCTTTTCCGATTGGCTTAAAAACCGGAGCACCAGGAGACTATATCCCGCGGCTCGGAGGGTCCTACGCCCACGGAGTCTCGCTGATTGCTAACGCAGCAGTCTGAGATCAAACTGTAAGGCGGCAGCCAGGCTGGGGGAGGGGCGCCAGCCATTGCCCAGGCTTGCTTAGGCAAACAAAGCAGCTAGGAAGCTCCAACTGGGTGGAGCCCACCACAGCTCAAGGAGGCCTGCCTGCCTCTGTAGGCTCCACCTCTGGGGGCAGGGCACAGACAAACAAATAGACAGCAGTAACCTCTGCACACTTAAATGTCCCTGTCTGATAGCTTTGAAGAGAGCAGTGGTTCTCCCAGCACGCAGCTGGAGATCTGAGAACGGGCAGACTGCCTCAAGTGGGTCCCTGACCCCTGACCCCTGAGCAGCCTAACTGGGAGGCACCCCCAAGCAGGGGCAGACTGACACCTCACACGGTCAGGTACTCCAACAGACCTGCAGCTGAGGGTCCTGTCTGTTAGAAGGAAAACTAACAAACAGAAAGGACATCCACACCAAAAACCCATCTGTACATCACCATCATCAAAGACCAAAAGTAGATAAAACCACAAAGATGGGGAAAAAACAGAGCAGAAAAACTGGAAACTCTAAAAAGCAGAGCACCTCTCCTCCTCCAAAGGAATACAGTTCCTCACCAGCAATGGAACAAAGCTGGATGGAGAATGACTTTGAGGAGCTGAGAGAAGAAGGCTTCAGACGACCAAATTACTCCGAGCTACGGGAGGAAATTCAAACCAAAGGCATTGAAGTTGAAAACTTTGAAAAAAGTTTAGAAGAATCTATAACTAGAATAACCAATACAGAAAAGTGCTTAAAGGAGCTGAGGGAGCTGAAAACCAAGGCTCGAGAACTACGTGAAGAATGTAGAAGCCTCAGGAGCCAATGTGATCAACTGGAAGAAAGGGTATCAGCGATGGAAGATGAACTGAATGAAATGAAGCAAGAAGGGAAGTTTAGAGAAAAAAGAATAAAAAGAAATGAGGAAAGCCTCCAAGAAATATGGGACTATGTGAAAAGACCAAATCTACGTCGATTGGTGTACCAGAAAGTGACGGGGAGAATGGAATCAAGTTGGAAAACACTCTGCAGGATATTATCCAGGAGAACTTCCCCACTCTAGCAAGGCAGGCCAACATTCAGATTCAGGAAATACAGAGAACGCCACAAAGATACTCCTCGAGAAGAGCAACTCCAAGACACATAATTGTCAGATTCACCAAAGTTGAAATGAAGGAAAAAATGTTCAGGGCAGCCAGAGAGAAAGGTCGGGTTACCCACAAAGGGAAGCCCATCAGACTAACAGCAGGTCTCTTGGCAGAAACTCTACAAGCCAGAAGAGAGTGGGGGCAAATATTCAACATTCTTAAAGAAAAGAATTTTCAACCCAGAATTTCATATCCACCCAAACTAAGCTTCATAAGTGAAGGAAAAATAAAATCCTTTACAGACAAGCAAATGCTGAGAGATTTTGTCACCACCAGGCCTGCCCTAAAAGAGCTCCTGAAGGAAGCACTAAACATGGAAAGGAACAACTGCTACCAGCCACTGCAAAATCATGCCAAAATGTAAAGACCATCAAGACTAGGAAGAAACTGCATGAACTAACGAGCAAAATAACCAGCTAACATCATAATGACAGGATCAAATTCACACATAACAATATTAACTTTAAATGTAAATGGACTAAATGCTCCAATTAAAAGACACAGACTGGCAAATTGGATAAAGAGTCAAGACCCATCAGTGTGCTGTATTCAGGAAACCCATCTCATGTGCAGAGACACACATAGGCTCAAAATAAAAGGATGGAGGAAGATCTACCAAGCTAATGGAAAACAAAAAAGGCAGGGGTTACAATCCTAGTCTCTGATAAAACAGACTTTAAACCAACAAAGATCAAAGGAGACAAAGAAGGTCATTACATAATGGTAAAGGGATCAATTCAACAAGAAGAGCTAACTATCCTAAATATATATGCACCCAATACAGGAGCACCCAGATTCATAAAGCAAGTCCTGAGTGACCTACAAAGAGACTTAGACTCCCACACATTAATAATGGGAGACTTTAACACCCCACTGTCAACATTACACAGATCAACGAGACAGAAAGTCAACAAGGATACCCAGGAATTGAACTCAGCTCTGCACCAAGCGGACCTAATAGACATCTACAGAACTCTCCACCCCAAATCAACAGAATATACATTTTTTTCAGCACCACACCACAGCTATTCCAAAATTGACCACATACTTGGAAGTAAAGCTCTCCTCAGCAAATGTAAAAGAACAGAAATTATAACAAACTATCTCTCAGACCACAGTGCAATCAAACTAGAACTCAGGATTAAGAACCTCACTCAAAACTGCTCAGCTACATGGAAACTGAACAACCTGCTCCTGAATGACTACTGGGTACATAACGAAATGAAGGCAGAAATAAAGATGTTCTTTGAAACCAACGAGAACAAAGACACAACATACCAGAATCTCTGGGACACATTCAAAGCAGTATGTAGAGGGAAATTTATAGCACTAAATGCCCACAAGAGAAAGCAGGAAAGATCCAAAATTGACACCCTAACATCACAATTAAAAGAACTAGAAAAGCAAGAGCAAACACATTCAAAAGCTAGCAGAAGGCAAGAAATAACTAAAATCAGAGCAGAACTGAAGGAAATAGAGACACAAAAAATGCTTCAAAAAATCAATGAATCCAGGAGCTGGTTTTTTGAAAGGATCAACAAAATTGATAGACCGCTAGCAAGACTAATAAAGAAAAAAAGAGAGAAGAATCAAATAGATGCGATAAAAAATGACAAAGGGGATATCACCACCAATCCCACAGAAATACAAACTACCATCAGAGAATACTACAAACACCTCTAAGCAAATAAACTAGAAAATCTAGAAGAAATGGATAAATTCCTCAACACATACATTATCCCAAGACTAAACCAGGAAGAAGTTGAATCTCTGAATAGACCAATAACAGGAGCTGAAATTGTGGCAATAATCAATAGCTTACCCACCAAAGAGTCCAGTACCAGATGGATTCACAGCCAAATTCTACCAGAGGTACAAGGAGGAACTGGTACCATTCCTTCTGAAACTATTCCAATCAATAGAAAAAGAGGGAATCCTCCCTAACTCATTTTATGAGGCCAGCATCATCCTGATACCAAAGCTGGGCAGAGACACAACCAAAAAAGAGAATTTTAGACCAATATCCTTGATGAACATTGATGCAAAAATCCTCAATAAAATACTGGCAAACCGAATCCAGCAGCACATCAAAAAGCTTATCCACCATGATCAAGTGGGCTTCATCCCTGGGATGCAAGGCTGGTTCATTATACCCAAATCAATAAATGTAATCCAGCATATAAACAGAACCAAAGACAAAAACCACATGATTATCTCAACAGATGCAGAAAAGGCCTTTGACAAAATTCAATAACCCTTCATGCTAAAAACTCTCAATAAATTAGGTATTGATGGGACGTATCTCAAAATAATAAGAGCTATCTATGACAAACCCACAGCCAATATCATACTGAATGGGCAAAAACTGGAAGCATTCCCTTTGAAAACTGGCACAAGACAGGGATGCCCTCTCTCACCACTCCTATTCAACACAGTGTTGGAAGTTCTGGCCAGGGCAATTAGGCAGGAGAAGGAAATAAAGGGTATTCAATGAGGAAAAGAGGAAGTCAAATTGTCCCTGTTTGCAGATGACATGATTGTATATCTAGAAAACCCCATTGTCTCAGCCCAAAATCTCCTTAAGCTGATAAGCAACTTCAGCAAAGTCTCAGGATACAAAATCAATGTACAAAAATCACAAGCATTCTTATACACCAACAACAGACAAACAGAGAGCCAAATCATGAGTGAACTCCCATTCACAATTGCTTCAAAGAGAATAAAATGCCTAGGAATCCAACTTACAAGGGATGTGAAGGACCTCTTCAAGGAGAACTACAAACCACTGCTCAAGGAAATAAAAGAGGATACAAACAAATGGAAGAACATTCCATGCTCATGGGTAGGAAGAATCAATATCGTAAAAATGGCCATACTGCCCAAGGTAATTTGTAGATTCAATGCCATCCCCATCAAGCTACCAATGACTTTCTTCACAGAAGTGGAAAAAACTACTTTAAAGTTCATATGGAACCAAAAGAGAGCCCACATCACCAAGTCAATCCTAAGCGAAAAGAACAAAGCTGGAGGCATCACACTACCTGACTTCAAACTATACTACAAGGCTACAGTAACCAAAACAGCATGGTACTGGTACCAAAACAGAGATATAGATCAATGGAACAGAACAGAGCCCTCAGAAATAATGCCGCATATCTACAACTATCTGATCTTTGACAAACCTGAGAAAAACAAGCAATGGGGAAAGGATTCCCTAGTTAATAAATGGTGCTGGCAAAACTGGCTAGCCATATGTAGAAAGCTGAAACTGGATCCCTTCCTTACACCTTATACAAAAATCATTTCAAGATGGATTAAAGACTTAAACGTTAGACCTAAAACCATAAAAACCCTAGAAGAAAACCTAGGCATTACCATTCAGGACTTAGGCATGGGCAAGGACTTCATGTCTAAAACACCAAAAGCAATGGCAACCAAAGCCAAAATTGACAAATGGGATCTAATTAAACTAAAGAGCTTCTGCACAGCAAAAGAAACTACCATCAGAGTGAACAGGCAACCTACAAAATGGGAGAAAATTTTCACAACCTACTCATCTGACAAAGGGCTAATATCCAGAATCTACAATGAACTCAAACACATTTACAAGAAAAAAACAAACAACCCCATCAAAAAGTGGGCGAAGGACATGAACAGACACTTCTCAAAAGAAGACATTTATGCAGCCAAAAGACACACGAAAAAATGCTCACCATCACTGGCCATCAGAGAAATGCAAATCAAAACCACAATGAGATGCCATCTCACACCCGTTAGAATGGCAATCATTAAAAAGTCAGGAAACAACAGGTGCTGGAGAGGATGTGGAGAAATAGGAACAATTTTACACTGTTGGTGGGACTGTCAACTAGTTCAACCATTGTGGAAGTCAGTGCAGTGATTCCTCAGGGATCTAGAACTAGAAATACCATTTGACCCAGCCATCCCATTACTGGGTATATACCCAAAGGACTATAAATCATGCTGCTATAAAGACACGTGCACCCGTATGTTTATTCCGGCATTATTCACAATAGCAAAGACTTGGAACCAACCCAAATGTCCAACAATGATAGACTGGATTAAGAAAATGTGTCACATATACACCATGGAATACTATGCAGCCATAAAAAATGATGAGTTCGTGTCCTTTGTAGGGACATGGATGAAATTGGAAATCATCATTCTCAGTAAACTATGGCAAGAACAAAAAACCAAACACCGCATATTCTCACTCATAGGTGGGAATTGAACAATGGGAACACATGGACACAGGAAGGGGAACATCACACTCTGGGGTCTGTTGTGGGGTGGTGGGAGCGGGGAGGGGGGAGGGATAGCATTGGGAGATATACCTAATGCTAGATGATGAGTTGGTGGGTGCAGCGCACCAGCATGGCACATGTATACATATGTAACTAACCTGCACAGTGTGCACATGTACCCTAAAACTTAAAGTATAATAATAATAAATTAATTAAATAAAATAAATAAATAAAATCTGAGGAGAAAATTCCATTTGCAATAAAACTAAGAAACAGCTATAATCCCGATGATGAGAAATAACCGGCTGACAGTGAAATTTGAGCCAAACCTAGTTTCTCAGCAGGGTGTGGAGTCTCTGAACAGGACAGGCTCCTGGAGGCCTAATCAAATTATTACTTAGGATCAGGACCATGCACTTAGTGAAAAAAAAATCAGAATCTAGGAATATCTTGTCAGTGTCCTGTTCAGAGGAGTCAAGTCTGAAAGAAGAAATAGATTGTCAGAAATGGCATAACCAGACAATCTGTTGTTTTCTCTAACAAACCTGGATCAACTATCTAAAAGCAGCCCAAGAAAAGAGAAAAGAAATACCAACCAACTTTGTTGCTCCTGACTTGAGTTAACTAAGCACAAATTAAACAAATAAGAAAGCCTTCCCCGCCCCCTGGAAAAAAGGTATGAGCTGAAGCCTTCACAGAGACCCTCGGCTCTGCTCACCAGGACTACAGATGAGCCAGCAGAGAAGATTTGCAGTACTTCCCAGAAAACATATTTGATTAGTCCCATAGGTATGCTCTTTCGCCCATTCTGGATCCTTCTTGAGCAAACTGCAAATGAGGATGTAACTGTTTCCATTCAATGCATGATAAGCAGAAATAATTCATTCTGCATTCATTGGTGGCACACACATACACAAAAAGCAGAAGGCAGATTTTAAAAATGTAAACCAAACAAAAGGAAAAATATTTCAAGTACCTCTGTATTTTCAGAGAAATTAAAGGAAAAACCTCATAAAAGGGATAAAAGAACAAGGCAAACTAAACCAGCAGCTGAGAAAATAAAGGACAATAAAACCTCTGAATAAAGATTTAGAAGCAGAGATAAGTAATACATCCCTATGACTAGACAGTATTTTGAATCCCCATTTTAGAGACAAGAAAAGCAAAGCACAGACAAGATAAAACTTATCTCCTATACTATTGACAAGAGAGCCACTTTGAAACAGAGCCCATGACCAAGACAGGCTTAAGAACAAACCGGGCCTGGTGGCTCACGCCTATAATCCCTGCACTTTGGGAGGCTGAGGAGGGTGGATCACAAAGTCAGGAGATTGAGACCATCCCGGCTAACATGGTGAAACCACATCTCTACTAAAAAAAATACAAAAAAAAAAAAAATTAGCTGGTCTTGGTGGCAGGTGCACGTAGTCCTAGCTACTAGGAAGGCTGAGGCAGGAGAATGGCCTGAACCCAGGAGGCGGAGCTTGCAGTGAGCTCCTGCCACTGCACTCCAGCCTGGGTGACAGAGCGAGACTCTGTCTCAAACAAACAAACAAAACAAAACAAAACAAAAAACAAACGAATGCAGAAGAAAAAGATCAGTGAATGGAGTTGAAAAATGTGTTAACAGAAAAAAAAAAGTTAAAGTAACAGGCTGGAGACTGCGGTTCTTAGAAAGGGTTGCTTGAGAGGATGGGTCTTGGCTAGCTAAGCAGCTAGAAACTGGAATGAGAAACAGTTCCCAACGGTGACATAAAACCTTCCCTAATGATAAATAAGAGTGGCTCACAATTCCTAAACTCTGTACAAGGTACAAACATGTTTATTCGGAACACCTGCTTTCCTTTTGGGAGTCTGGGGATTTTGGTATGTGCTACGCAGAGGGTGCCTATGTGACCAGCCCAATAAAACCCTTGGGCACCAAGCCTCTGATGAGCTTTTCTTCTAGACAACTATTTTACATGTCACAATTAGGTGCTGGAGGAATTAAGCATGTCCTATGGGACCTCACTGAGACAGCCTGTGTTTGGTTTCTTCCAAACTTCACCCCATGCCTCTTTTCCCTTGCTGGTTTTGCTTTTGTATGCTTTCATGTAATAAACCTTAGCCATTAGTGTGACTGTATGATAGGTTCTGTGAGTCTTAGCCAATCACTAAACCTGAGGGCTGTCTTGGGAATCTCTGATGTAGGTAATATCTGTGCCAGAAACGCAGCACACAAAGTCCTGCTGCCTTTATAACAGAGAATACAGAAAAGGTAAGAAAAAATATTCAAAGAAATAATGGAAGACCTATGACTGGAAAGCTACACTGTGTCTCATCAAAAGCTAAGAGGAAATAGGCTGAGTGTGGTGGCTCACATTTGTAATCCCAGTACTTTGGGAAGCCAAGGTGGGTGGATCACCTGAGTTCAGGATTTCGAAGACCAGCCTGGCCAACATGGTAAAACTCCGTCTCTGCTAAAAATACAAAAATTAGCCAGGTATGGTGGTGGGCACCTGTAATCCCAGCTACTCGGGAGGCTGAGGCAGGAGAACCACTTGAACCCGGGAGGCAGGGGTTGCAGTGAGCCGAGATCCTGCCACTGCACTCCAGTCTGGGTGACAGAGTGAGACTCTGTGTTGTTGTTTTTTGTCGTTTTTTTTAAAAAAAAAAGACAAAGAAGAACTAAGAGGAAATAATCAAAATCGAGCATTACACTGGCCAAATGTCTAAAGTTCAATAAGTAAGAATTCCACAGATCTCCAAGCAGAAGACAAGGTACTGTTACAAGGAGGAAAAGTTTTTGGTGGGCCTTAGATTTCTTCACAATAACATTTGATACCACAGGTTATAAAAACAATGTCTACAAAATGCTAAGGGAAATACTATGTGGCCTGAACAACCAGACTCAGCTAACTTGTTGTATAAACATAAAGGCAACAGGCAGACATTCCCAATCAAGAAAGTAACGCAGTACATAAGAGGTAACCTTCGGCAAAGGGCAGGGGGTGCGGGAGATCTGCCAAGTGACTGTACTCACCAACAAAGACATTAATAAAGATAAGAAATGAGAAATAAACTGTGCCATAAGGACTGAAAGTAAGCACTGCATCCATGTGAATTATACTTGGGAAATAACATGATATAAAGCTTGACAATGTTAAAAAAAAAAAAAAAAAACTGGCCGGCCATGGTGGCTGGCACTTATAATCCTAGCACTTTGGGAGGCCAAGGAGGGTGGATCACTTGAGCTCAGGAGTTCGAGACCAGCCTGGGCAGCACAGCAAGACCCCATCTCAAAAACAAAACAAAACAAAAAACAGTAAATACAAACTAGGTGGTAGGAATTTTAGGGAAAATTTAACTCCAGGAACCTCCTCATTTCTCATAATGGAAAGTCAAAAGAGACTGAATGGGCTGGGCACAGTGGCTCATGCCTGTAATCCCAGCACTTTGGGAGGTGGAGGCGGGCAGATCACAAGGTCAGGAGTTCGAGACCAGCCTGGCCAATATGGTGAAACCCAGTCTCTATTAAAAATACAAAAATTAGTCGGGCGTGGTGGCACACGCCTGTAGTCCCAGCTACTCGGGAGGCTGAGGCAGAACTGCTTGAACCTGGGAGGCGGAGCTTACAATGAACCAAGGTCACTTCACTGCACTCCAGCCTGGGCGACAGACCAAGATTCCATCTCAAAAAAATAAAAATAATTAAAAATATATATACTTAATAAAAATCAGGAGTTAAAAAAAAAAAAAAAGGAATTGACTTTTTTTTTTTTTTTTGAGATGGAGTTTCAGTCTTATCGTCCGGGCTCCAGTGCAATGGCGAGATCTCAGCTCACTACAACCTCCACCTCCTGGGATCAAGCGAGTCTCCTTCCTCAGCCTCCCAAGTAGCTGGGATTATAGGCATGCACCACCACACCCAGATAATGTTTGTATTTATAGTAGAGACAGGGTTTCACCATGTTGCTCAGGCTGGTCTAAAACTCCTGGCCTCAGGTGATCCACCCCCCTGGGCCTCCCAAAGTGCTGGGATTACAGGCGTGAGCCACCACGCCCGGCCTCTTTTCAGGAATGAAATGTAGGTATGTGAATTTACAATCCTAAATAATTTTTTCAAGCTTCCCTGCAATAGCTCACCATTTGTATTTTATACATTCACTTATGTTCTGATGAGTAGCCTAGATCACTACAAAGAACAGAATGAAAGGATGATTAAAGCCACATAAAAGTAAGTATTGAAAATAATTTAAAGTTAAATCATCCATATATTTTAGAGAACTAAAATGGCCAGTACTGGCAAGAATGAAAGCATCAAAATCTCTCATATACTGCTGAAACAAACTGGTAAAACTTTGTAGAGGGTAATCTGGTAATATGTCTCCAACTAAAATAAGCACAGACCTTTGAACTGGTTATTCTGTGTCATATCAGTTTGTTCTGCAGACATGCTTATGCAAGTCCACAAATATTGACTCCAACACTTCCGGTAATAATGAAAAACAGGAAAAAACTAAATGTCTATCAATGGAGGATAGAAAATTTAAACTGAGCTAAATGATAAAACATACTGTTAATGTAGCCATTAGAAAGAATGAAATAGTGTTATATAATTGTGAGACGATATCCATTATATATTTTTAAGTGAACACAAAACAAATTGCAGAATATTATCATCTTTTCTATTTTCTAAAAATGAGTACAAATGACTGTACATGTGCATTCATGTATGCAGATGTAAGCACAGAGACAGTTCAGAAAATATCAAATTGGATGCTCAGAGAAACAAAATTGGGAGGTGGGACAGGAGACGTAACAGATGATTACTTTTATATTTATGTACAACTCTAGTTTTCACTTGCTTCTATAAAGAAAAACCTAAGTGAACTATCTTTAGGAAAACTAAATAAAACTAAAGAATAAAGAAGAGGTGTTTAACATAATAAGAAATGGCAAAAGTTGGCCAGGTGAGGTGGCTCACACCTGTAATCCCAGCACTTTGGGAGGCTGAGGTGGGTGGATCACCTGAGGTCACGAATTTGAGACCAGACTGCCCAACATGGAGAAACCCCATCTACTAAAAATACAAAAAATTAGCTGGGCATGGTGGCAGCTGCCTGTAATCTCAACTACTCGGGAGCATGAGGCAGGAGAATCACTTGAACCCAGGAGGCGGAGGTTGCAGTGAGCCAAGATCGTGCCACTGCACTCCAGCCTGGGCAACAGAGTGAGCCTCCATCTCAAAACAAAACAAAACAAACAAAAAAGAAGAACTAAGAGGAAATAATCAAAATCAAGCATTACACTGGCCAAATGTCTGAAGTTCAGTAACTAAAAATCCCACAGGTCTCTAAGCAAAAGACAAGGTACTGTTACAAGGAGGAAAAGTTTTTGGTGGGCCTTAGATTTCTTCACAATAACATTTGATGCCACAGGTTATAAAAACAATGTCTACAAAGTGCTAAGGGAAATACTATGTGGCCTGAAACAACCAGACTCAGCCAACTTGTTGTATAAACATAAAGGCAACAGGCAGACATTCTCAAGTAAGAAAGTAACGCAGTACATAAAAGGCACACTTAGGGAAAGGGCAGGGGGTGCGGGAA
Source organism: Homo sapiens (assembly GCF_000001405.40). Taxonomy (NCBI): domain Eukaryota; kingdom Metazoa; phylum Chordata; class Mammalia; order Primates; family Hominidae; genus Homo; species Homo sapiens. The sequence goes on from NC_000010.11 coordinate 18,638,806, forward strand.
ATCTGCTAAGTGACTGTACTCACCAACAACGACATTAATAAAGATAAGAAATGAGAAACTGTGCCATAAGGACTGAAAGCAAGCACCACATGTATGTGAATTATACTTGGGAAATAACAATGTTATAAAGCTTGACAATGTTAAAAAAAAAAAAAAAAAAAAAAACTGGCCGGCCATGGTGGCTGGCACTTGTAATCCTAGCTCTTTGGGAGGCCGAGGAGAGTAGATCACTTGAGCTCAGGAGTTTGAGACCAGCTTGGGCAACACGGCGAGACCTCGTCTCAAACAAACAAACAAACAAAAAACAACAACAGTAAATACAAATTAGCTGGTAGGAATTTTAGGGAAAATTTAACTCCAGGAACCTCCTCATTTCTCATAATGGAAAGTCAAAAAGAGACTTAATAGGCCGGGTGCGGTGGCTCACACCTGTAATCCCAGCACTTTGGGAGGGTGAGGCAGGCGGATCATGAAGTCAGAAGTTGGAAACCAGCCTGGCCAATATGGTGAAACACAGTCTCTACTAAAAATACAAAAATGAAGCCAGGTGTGGTGGCATGCGCCTGTAGCCCCAGCTACTCGGGAGGCTGAGTCAGGAGAACTGCTTGAACCTGGGAGGGGGAGGTTGCAGTGAACCAAGGTCACATCACTGCACTCCAGCCGGGGTGACAGACTTGAGACTCCGTCTCAAAAAAAATAAAAACAAAAAAATTTTAAAAACAGATACTTAATAAAAATCAGGAGTTAAAAAAACAAAAAGTAATTGACTTATTCTTTTTAAGAATGAAAGGTGGGTATGTGAATAATTTTTTCAGGCTTCCCTGCAATAGCTCACCATTTGTATTTATACATTCACTCATGTTCTGATGAGTAGCTTAGATCACTACAAAGAACAGAATGAAAGGATGATTAAGGCCATGTAAAAGTAAGTATTGAAAATAATTAAAGTTAAATCATCCAAATATTTTAGAGACCTAAAATAGCCAGTATTGGCAAGAATGAAAGCATCAAAATCTCTCATACACTGCTGAAACATTAACTGGTAAAACTTTGTAGAGGGTAATCTGGTAATATGTCTCCAACTAAAATAAGCACAGACCTTTGAACTGGTTATTCTGTGTCATATCAGTTTGTTCTGCAGACATGCTTATGCAAGTACACAAATATTCACTCTAACACCTCTCGTAACAATGAAAAACAGGAAAAAACTAAATGTCTATCAATGGAGGATTGAAAATTTAAACTAAGCTAAATGATAAAATATACTGTTCATGCAGCCATTAAAAAGAATGAAATAGTGTTACATAATCGTGGAACGATATCCATTATACATTTTTAAGTGAACACAAAAGCAAATTGCAGAACATTGTAATCTTTTCTATTTTCTAAAAATGAGTACACATGATTACGCATGTGCATTCATGTATGCAGCTATAAGCACAGAGACGGTCTATAAAAAATCAAATTTGATGCTCAGAGAAACAAAAGTGGGAGGTGAGGTGGGACAGGAGATGTAACAGATGATTACTTTTATACTTATGTACAACTCTAATTTTTACTTGCTTCTATAAAGAAAAACCTAATTTAACTCTATCTTTAGGGAAACTAAATAAAACTAAAGAATAAAGAAAAAGTGTTTAACAGAATAAGAAATGGCCAAAGTTTGAACCTAAATAAGTACAATTTTGCATCCTCATAAGGAGTGTAGTAACCTCCAAAGATCTGTGATTATGGTCTATTATAGTAGCAGCTAACTGGTCCAAAACTAAGAGATGATAGAAATCAGAAGAGCAGCTTCCTGGTAGGGTAGCTGAGTACAAGAGATGTTTCTGGGATAATGGAAATGCTCTATCTTGACTGGGGTGGGTCTTGGCTGCACAGTTGTACATATTTGTCAAAACCCAACAAACTAAACATTTAAGATCTCTTCGTTTCACTGTATGTAACTTTCACCTTTAAACAACTGAATACAAGATGAAAAACTTTAAAAATTAAACTAAATAGAATGAGCCTATACAAATCAACTTTAATTGCAAAAATACATTCTTATAGTAAAAAAAAAAAAAACAAAAATATTACACATGAAAATTTCCTTTTATTTCCCCCCTCTCTCCCAATCTAATTTCCTCAGAGTTAACCACTATTAAAAGGTGGGTATGTTACAGCTTCCAGATGTTTTTTTACATGTAAATAAATATACATAAATCCACAGTTGTGTACTTTTATTAACTGCAAAAAAAGTAATTATCCCAAGTATAGCAATTTGCTTTTGATACTTAAAAACTGATCATAAACATCTTCTCTGATTGGTAAGTAGAATTCTCCCATATTAAAGGCCATATACTATCCCATTGCATGGACAAATCATAGTTTATTAAACCACTGCTCTATTGCTGCCCACTAAATTGAAGTTTTAACAAACTTCAATTTTAACAAAAGCATTTCTATATTTATTATAATTCTTAGGAGTTTAAAAAGACTTTAGACTATAATTAGGAATTTTAAAATGCTCCATAGGAATAAAACTCCATTATAATCATTATACTATGAAAACTTATTTTTCCTTTTTTTTTTTTTTGAGACAAGGTCCCGCTCTGTCTCCCAGGCTGGACTGCAGTAGCACAATCATGGCTCACTGCAGCCTCCACCTCCCAGGCTCAAATGATCCTTCCACCTCAGCCTCCTGAATAGCCGTGACGACAGGTAAGCACCACCATACCCAGCTAATTTTTGTAATTTCTTTTACTAGAGGTAAGGTTTTGCCATGTTGCCCAGACTGGTCTCCAACCCCTGGGCTCAAGGGATCCGCCTACCTCAGCCTCCCAAAGTGCTGGGATAACAGGAATAAGTAAGCCACCAGATCCAGCCTGAAACCTATTTTTCAATTTTCAAACATATGCTTTCCAAATACGTAAACGCGCAGAACATAAATGGGACACAGTAGTTTAACATAATTGTTGAATTATGAATAAAATTTTACAGGCTGGGCAACGTGGCTCACATCAGTAATCCCAATACTTTGAGAGGCTAAGGTGGGAGGATTGTTTGAGGCTAGGACTTCAATACCAGCCTGGGACACATAGTGTGACTGTTTCTACAAAATAAAAAATAAATTAGCCAGGTGCAGTGGTGCGCAACTGTAGTCCCAGCTACTCAGAAGCTGAGGTGGTATAATTGCCTGAGTCCAGAAGTTCGAGCCTGCAATGAGCTATGCTTGTGTCCCTGCACTCCAGCCTGGGTAACAGAGCAGGACGCTTTCTCAAAAAATAAAATTTTACAAACATATCAGCTATGAAAGTAGAAAACAGGTTACTCTATATTTTTGTTGCAGCTCAAAAAAGAGTTTTAATTTAGCACTGAAAATTCATATGAAATACAAGTAAACAAATGAAATAAAACTTCACAGAAAGTGGGGGGGGGAAAACATCACTGCACTAAATGGACCTAAAATGCATTATTCTCAAGATCCTTGGGCCCATTCCTAGCCTTCTTTTGTATTATTTTCCATGACAGAGTCTAAAGTCTGCATTTATGAAGTTTTGAATTCCTGTTATCTATAGAAAGTTGCTAACAATGGAGAAACTTAGTATTATCACTGAACAATTAAAAAGCTCCCTGTGACAAACTTTTATTGAGAATAATATAATTTGGAAATGAAGTTCTTACAAACCTGGGTCCAATAACAGGAATAAGTAACACATCTTGAAGGTCTGGATGTTGAAGAATAGGAACACTTAATCCATTAAACTGCTGTTAAAGATAAACATGATTATAAAGTAATCCATACATTTGATACATTTCAACTTATGGAACTTTTCAGTATCATCATCTACCACAGCATGAAGCCCTAGTAGCTCTGGGGCATTTTCACCTTATTCCACGGGATACTGTAAAAATCCAAAAGACCTCAAAACAACAATGTTTTCTCTATTTTAATTCTGAAGTATCCTAACTTCCTTATAAGACTCAATTTTGCTTACTATTTGGCATTATAAACACAAACCGTGGTTACCCTAAATGATTTACTTTAGAAACTTTTATTTAATATAGAATTACATGTAGTATTCCTTTAAGAAAAGTTTCTGAATAAGATGTTAAAGACTGAGATTACTATTGATAAATACTACCTAATATACACAATCAACACTGGCATCCATGTCAGCTTTGGTGAGGAAAAGAAATGTTTATGGTAGAGGTTTGGGATTTTCAGTATCCTCTATTATAAGGGAACCAGAAGATTATCACACTGAAAGCAGGTACAGGTGCGGGAGCCAGCTCACACCAGCTCAGGAGAGCCACTGCATGCATCTCTTTCCAATTCCATGGTCACACATGTAGCTACCAGGGAACATGGTGAGTATTTATACCACAGAAATCAACAAACACCACAAATTGGGGTTATTTTTCCCAGAAAGGGTTTGTTAAATATGTACCAGCATACCACTGTCACAAGCAGAAGACAATTGGACACCCTACACAGAATAAAAAACAGCTGCATAGGGGACTGGATGACAGGGACCGTATACTCTATTAGAGGGCAGCACGCAAATATCTGACAACAAGTCTGCCTCGTAGGTTAGGGTTTATCAACTCCATTTTCACATACTACATAAAAGACCAATCACCACAATGCATGTTTGCATTGCCCCACAGGATTCATACACTATCTACAGAAAACTTCTGAGATCAACTTACTGATTTCTAAGTTGATAAGGAAACAGAAAATAATCGTGCATATTTTAGAAATAAAACTTCATATCTACCAAGTCACCAGCTCTCTGAACTTCTGCTTCTTCCAAAGGGTCTAGTTATCCAACAGATAACTAATAAGCAATCTGAAAGATAAATTCCACCTCAATCAATCAAATCCTTCTTCCTTTCTCTTTCCCTCCCTCCTTCATCATTTTGATAGCCTTACAGTATCAATTATAGGGAACAAATCTTGCCAAAGAGAAGATAATGAACTTTGATTTTTGTTTTGTTTTATAAGTAACATTTGATTTAGACTATAGAAATATCTTATACAGAGATCAAAGCTTCTCAAGCCAAAGGTCATTGTCTCTCCCTTTCGATTAGAAGCATGTTAATATATAAATAAAACCCATAAAACCACACATGTACATACCCTTCATAACACACGTTTTTTTCCAAACCAAGTATATCACCAGCTTCTTTTAATGTTGGTTTCTGCCCAATGCTATTTTAAAACAGCCTTATTGAGATAATTTACATACCATAAATTTCACCCATTTTAAACGTACAATTCAATGATTTTTAGTAAATTTAAAGAACTGTACTCCAGTTTTAGACAATTTCCATCATCCCACAAAGATCCTTCACGCTCACTGGCAGTCAATCCCTGTTCCCATTGCTAGGCAACCACTATCTTTCTTTCTCTATAAATGTGCCTTTTTCTGGACATTTCACATAAATGGAATACAAACCAAGCATCCCTAGTCTAAAAATCTGAAATGTTACAAATCCAAAACTTTTTGAATGCTGACATGATGCCAGAAGTAGAAAATTCCATACTTGACCCAGACTGGTCAAAGTCAAAATGCAGGCTCACAACACAGTTCATCCAGCCTATTGTGTTTTTGTTGTTGTTGAACAGCTAATTCAGGTACTCTGGTGATGCTACTGTGCTGCTTAGTTACCCTGAACACATTATTTTTTTCACTGTATTAAGGTATGTCTTTTTTTTTTTTACTGTTAAGTGCTTACATATGAGTAAGTACAAGAAAATGTTGGCCGGGCGCAGTGGCTCATGCCTGTAATCCCAGCACTTTGGGAGGCCGAGGCGGGTGGATCACGAGGTCAGGAGATCGAGACCATCCTGGCTAACATGGTGAAACCCTGTGTCTACTAAAAATACAAAAAAAAAATTAGCCGGGTGTGGTGGCGGGCGCCTGTAGTCCCAGCTACTCGGGAGGCTGAGGCAGGAGAATGGCGTGAACCCAGGAGGTGGAGCTTGCAGTGAGCCAAGATCACGCCACTGCACTCCAGCCTGGGCGACAGAGCGAGACTCCGTCTCAAAAAAAAAACAAAAAAAAAAAACTGAAAACGTGTAGGTCAGGCACGGTGGCTCACTCCTGTAATCCCAGCACTCTGTGAGGCCGAAGCAGGTGGATAACCTGAGGTTAGAGGTTTGAGACCAGCCTGGCCAACACAGTGAAACCCTGTCTCTACTAAAAATACAAAAATTAGCTGGGTGTCTTTGAGCGCACCTGTAATCCCAGCTACTCAGGTGGCTGAGGCAGGAGAATTGCTTGAACCTGGGAGGCAGAGGTTGCAGTGAGCTGAGATCGCGCCATTGCACTCCAGCCTGGCTGACAGAGCGAGACTCCCTCTCAAAAAAAAAAAAAAAAAAAAAGAAAATGTATATAAATACAATTTTCTCTGTATATAAATTCAGAGTCAGGAATGATAGTGATGTCAAACAACCAGATTGTCCACATGGCTGAGATAGTGACACCTTTGCTTTCTGATGGTTTAATGTATATAAACTGTTTCCTGCACAAAATTATATAAAATATTGTATAAAATTACCTTCAGGCTATGTATACAAGGTGAATATGAAACATAAAAGAATTTCATGTTAGACTTGGGTCCCACATCCTTTATCTCTCATTATATACATGCAAATATTCTAAAAGCTAAAAAATCCAAAATTTGAAACAATACGTAGCATCCGTGTCTACCTTCTTTAATATTTTTGAGGTTAATCCATACTGTAGCATGTATCAGTTCATTCTAGTTCATAATTTTTATTGCTGAAGGATTCTACTGTATGAATATATCACATTTTGTTTATCTACTTAAGAGCTGATGTATATTTGGAGTATCCCCTTTTGATTATTATGAGTAGTGCTGCTATGAACATTCATGCTGGAGAATTTATATGAACATATGTTTTCATTTATTTGGAGTATATACCTAGGAGTGGAATTGCTGGGTTTTAGAGTATGATTAACTTTTTAAGATACCACCAATGTTCCAAAGAGATCATATTATTTACATTTCAACCTACAATGTTTGAAGATTCCAGCTTCTCCATATTGTCACCAGCCTAATTAAATTTTATATTATTAAATTTCAGGCCAGGCACGGAGATATATGGGATTCACGCGTGTAATCCCAACATTTTGGGAAGCCAAGGCACGCAGATCACTTGAAGTTAGGAGTTCGAGACCAGCCTGGCCAACATGGTGAAATCCCATCTGTGCTAAGAATATCAAAATTAGCCGAGCATTGTGGCGAGTGCATATAATCCCAGCTACTCGGGAGGCTAAGCCAGGAGAATCGCTTGAACCTGGGAGGCAGAGGTTGCAGTGAGCCAAGATCGCACCACTGCACTCCAGCCTGAGCAACAGAGCGAGACTCCATCTAAAAAATAATGATAATAATAATTCAATATGTGGTGCACAGATATTGGGGAGAAAACACTTACTTTTATATCATCCTATTCAGGACATCTCTTTAGGACACGTGAACTTTTCAACGTGAAAGGAAAAAGAAATCCACAGCCTAAAACCTCCTCCAAGTACACTTTCTTACT